>NW_003315963.1:0-155864 GCF_000001405.40 Homo sapiens
CAGCTAACAAAGTAACACCAATATGGTACCCAGGTCGCATAAGCACTCAAGTGTATCCAGAAAGATGAGCAATTCTTTTTTTTTATATATACTTTAAGTTTTAGGGTACATGTGCACAACACACAGGTTAGTTACACATGTATACATGTGCCATGTTGGTGTGCTGCACCCATTGAGCAATTCTTTAAAATGTGATCCCATGAAATATTTCTAACTTTTCACAATCTCAAAAAGTAAGTGACAGCTATTGCTCTAAATATCACTTTCAATAATATAGTACTTGTAGCAAGGCATCCTATAATTTTAAGAGCTACATAATGTAAATTACGTAATTTACATAATTATTATAATATAGTAACTGTTCTTTTCATTATTTTGCTCAGTGTTTTTACTTTTATCCTAAAATTGCTTTCCATAAACTCCAAAAGTTGTTTCTTTTAATACTTTCAGTCTCTAGAGAAAAAGCAATTTTATGAAAGTGTTTTGCAATAATATATTGATTAATTACTCTATCATTTTATTTGCCAATAGTTAGGCCCATTCCTTAGCATAATTTACTTATTTGTCTCTTCATTGACTCAGGCCACCATCAGAACACATAATTATTCATGATAAGAAGTTGGGCAAAGCAGGAATTTTGCACACAAAGAGGTAGAGCCGAATCAGATATTGAGTACATTAATTTCTTTTGTAACTGGGTGCTGTAATAAGAGAGCTGAGGCTTGGACTTTAAAACTTGTGGTACAAATCTTGACCCAGCCGTCAACCACCTCAAGTCAAGACTATCACCTTCCCCAGCCCTTAGTGCCCCCACTATCGAGAGAGGAACTTGGTGATACTGGTTCCTGTACAACACAGGTAGTATGACGATCAAGTGATAAAATGCTTATAAGAGAGCATTAATACCAGTGACATCAATGTGCTAGTTGTTATCTCATGACATGCAAAGTCTTCTCATTGGATCATGATTCCCAATACTGTCATGGCATTGCTTTCCTTTGACAGATTGTGATGGTTGGTTTTTCATGACAACTTGGCTAGGCTAAGGGATGGGCAGATCACTGGTACAACATTATTTCTGGGTGTGTCTGTGCAGATGCTTCTGGAATAGATTAGCATTTGAAACAGGTGACTGAGTAAAGATTACTCTCACCCATGTGGGTGGGCATCATCCAATCTATTGAGACCCTGAATAGAACAAAAAGACAAGAGGCCAGGCATAGTGGTTCACATCTGTAATCCCAGCATTTTGGGAGGCCAAGGCAGGAGGATTGCTTGAGGCCAGGTGTTCAAGACCAGTCTGGGCAACAGAGTGAGATCTTGTCTCTACAAAAAATTTAAAAATTAGTGTGGCGTGGTGGTGAGATGGGATTTGTTCCCTTGACCTTCACCCCCTTCATGGGCGAGAACTGGAGTGGCTCATTTCGCTCAGCCTGCCGCTGGCCACTCCTTGCAAGAGGGAGCGTGTGAGCAAGCGAGTGTGGGAACCAGAGGGAACAAACGCTAGAACCAAGTTCTGGCGGGAGCAGGCTCTGTATGGGCCTCACAGCAGCATCCAAGCCCCTGCCCTTTTCGCACCCAGGTTCTTGTCCGGCATCCAGGAAGGATCAGGTTGCATGAACGGATTGAAGGGTAGCATATGTGGGGTATCTTACTGGGTGATGGAAGTGGCTCTCAGAGGGATGGGAATTGGAAAGGGGATGGTGCGGGAAGAAGGTGATCTTCCCCTGAAGCCACACCATCTGAAGTTAGCTGTGTCTTGCAGAGATCCAGCCACTGCACTCCAGCCTGGGCAACAGAGCGAGTCTCCGTCTCAAAAAAAATAAAATAAAATAAATAATTTCAACAGAATTATTAAAGATGTTAAATAGCCAGGTGCAGCGATTCATGCCAGTAATCCCAGCACTTTGGAAGGCTGAGACAGCAGGATTATTTGAGGTCAGGAGTTCAAGACCAACACAGAAAGACCCTGTCTCTAACAACAACAAAAAAAAATTTAGCCAGGCTCATGTTGGTGTGTACTTGTAGCCCCAGCTACTCTGAAGGCTGAGGCAGGAGGATCACTTGAGATCAGAATTTGAGGCCACAGTGAGTTATGACTGCACTACTGTACTCCAGCTCAGGTGATAGACAGCAAGACCCTGTCATTAAATTAAAAAAAAAAAAAAAAAGATGTAAAGTAGAGGGTGGACCCAAAGGACAAATACTGTAGGACCAATACCACTTATATGAGGTTCCCAGAGGGGTCAGATTCACAGCCACAGTAGGCAAGATGGTGGTTTCCAGGGGCTGGGGGAAAGGGGAATGAAGAGTTATTGTTTAAATTGGTACTGAATTTTATTTGTGTGTTTGTGGCTTTGTTTTTTGTTTTTGCTTTGTTTTTGTTTTGTTTTGTTTTGTTTTGAGATAGAGTCTTTGTCACCCAGGCTGGAGTGCGGTGGCATCATCTTGGCTCACTGCAACCTCTGCCTCCCAGATTCAAGTGATTCTTGTGCCTTGGCTGCCCCAGTAGCTGGGATTACAGGTGTGCACCATCGTGCCAGGCTAATTTTTGTATTTTTAGTAGAGACAGCATTTCACCATGTTGCCCAGACTGATCTCGAACTCCTGAGCTCAAGCGATCCACCCGCCTCAGCCTCCCAAAGTGCTGGCCGTGCCTGACTGGGGATAGAATTTTAGTTTGGGGAGATAGAAAAGTTCTGGAGACAGATGGTAGTCATGGTTGCACAATAATGTGAATGTATTTAATGCCACTGAACTGTACACAGAGAAGTGGTTAAAATGGTGATGTTTATGTTATGTGTATTTTATCATACGCACACAAAAATAAAGGGTAGCAGTAATGGACGAAGTGAAGCAGAGGCTGACGGGGACTGGAATGGCCATGGAGGGGAGGTGGAGAGGGGAATAGCAGCCAAGCAGGGAGCAACCCATACTTTGGGACCACCAAGTGGCTCATGCCCCATAAATTCCCAGTAGAGCAAAGGGTAGAAGTAAGACATGGAGTGGAATCTTCCTACACCCTGACCCTCACCCATCTCACACAGCAGCCATGTAGTAGCTTGACATGCACCCGCCCCAGAAAAGTTGCAGGGGTTCTTCTGTTAAAAAAAAAAAAAGAGGCTGGGTGCGGTGGCTCACACCTGTAATCCCAGCACTTTGGGAGGCCGAGGTGGGCAGATCACTTGAGGTCAGGAGTTTGAGACCAGCCTGGCCAACATGGTGAAACCCCGTCTCTACTAAAAATACAAAAATTAGCCAGGCGTGGTGGTGCACACCTGTAATCCCAGCTACTCAGGAGGCTGAGGCAGGAGAACTGCTTGAACCAGGGAGGTGGATGTTGCAGTGAGCCATAATCGCACCACTACACTGCAGCCTGGGCAACACAGCAACACTCTGTCTGAAAAAAAAAAAAAGCAAATGTCTTAAAACACCCACAATCTGTCATTGGAGGTTCACCAATGTCTAGAGAATGGCTTCCTTCCTGATCACCCTAAGTGAAGTCCTCCAGTGAATGAGTCCACTAAAAATACAGAGGCCCTCAACAAATGATTTATGACATCGTTCTCACATACATTCCAATATGGTGACTTTGATGAAAGTCTCCAACATGCAAGACTCACACTAAGATATGCAAGCAAAAAGCAGGACGAGGAGGCAGGGACATCTTCATGCTATGTAACTGTCAGCACAGCCAAACCCACGCATAGTCAGAACCAGTAGCACATGTGCATAACGGGCCCACCCTACCATGCACACAGCCTGGACAGCAGGCCTGCGTGGAGCAAACAAAGATAACTCAGGAATAGAAAAGAACTTTAAAATATCTCTATGTACTTGGCCTGTGAGCTAAATCTGCATTTATCATAGCTGGAAATCAATAGACAATCTCCAAAATGGATGAATCAAGAACTGGTGATAATGGGATACTACTCAGCCATTAAAAAAAAAGAAATTGTGTCACTTCACATGCAACCCCAGCACTTTGGGAGGCCAAGATGGGAGGATTGCTTGAGGCCAGGAGTTTGAGACCAGCCTGGACAGGAGAGGGAGACCTCTGTCTCTAAAAAAAGAAAAAGACATCATGTCTTTTGCAGCAACATGGATGGAACTGGAGGCCATTATCTTAAATGAAACAGCTCAGAAACAGAAAGAAAAATGCTGCATGTTCTCACTTGCAAGTGGGAGCCAAATAATGTGTACACATGGACATAAGTGTGGACTGATAGACACTGGAGACTAGGAAAGGTGGGAGGCTGGGAGGAGAGTGGATGATGAGAAATGAACAGGTACAGGTTGGGGGCAGTGGCTCATGCCTATAATCCCAGCACTTTGAGAGGCCTAGTTGGGTGGCTCTCTTGAGCCCAGGAGTTCAAGACTAGCCTGGGCAACAGGGCAAAACCCTGTTTCCACAAAAAATACAAAAATTAGCTGGGTATGGTGGTGCATGCCTGTAGTCCCAGCTACTTAGGAGGCTGAGGTGGGAGGATTCCTTGAGTCCAGGAATTCCAGGCTACAGTGAGCAGAGATCATGCCACTGCACTCTAGCCTGGGCCACAGAGTGACAGCCTGTCTCAAAAAAAATAATAAAAACAAAAAATAACAGGCAAAATGTACTTTATTCAGATGATGGGTACACTAAAAGCCCTGACTTCACCATTATTCAATAGATCCATGTAACAACACTGCACTTGTACCCCTAAAATTAACACAAATTTAAAATAGGACCAGGTGCAGTGGTTCAGGCCTGTAATCCCAGCACTATAGGAGACAGAAGTGGGTGGATCACTTAAGGTCAGGAGTTCAAGACCAGCCTAAGCAACATGGTGAAAGCCTATCTCTACTAAAAATACAAAAATTAGCCAGGCAAGGTGGTGCATGCCTGTAATCCCAGCTACTCGGGAGGCTGAGGCACAAGAATTACTTGAACCCAGGAGGTAGAGGTTGCAGTGAGCCTAGATGGGTGACAGCGAGATCCATCTCAAAAAAATAAAATAAAATAACTAGTGATGTAACCCTATTATTTCCATGCAACAATAACCACCAGGAGAAACAGCTGAAGGAACTAAATATGGTTGCCTCCATAGGACCACGGCTGGGGAGAGAGAGGCCGGAATGATCTCCATGCATCATAAACCCTCCTGCATAATTTGATTGTTTAACCTTATGCATGTATTAGTGATACTTTGATTTTTAAAAAAATTGTTCCAAAGAAAATGACTAGAAGGTTTTTTCTCCTACAGCACTGTTTCATTCTGGAATCTTCCAATTAAGCTTTTGGCTAAACACATAAATATGATAATGATGATTATTCAGGAATCAGAAGGTTTGTAAAAACATTGTACCATTAGAGTAATCAAGCTCTGCTCTAACACATCTTGGCTTTTTGGGATAATTAGACCACACTGGAGGCCCAGATGGGGTGAATGAGAAAGCCATGGGTATCTGCCACAGAGTAACAAGAAAACCGTACACAAACCTACTCAGCTGGTAGTTTGAAATCTGCATGTTAACTTAGTACACAAGGAGAAAGGAATAAAAATACTTGGATTTAGGGCAAAACATTTCACTTTAAAAACTAAGCATAGAACATGAGTGCAGTAATTAATGTCCTACATAACTTATTTTAAGCCCTTGTGTTAAAATTGACTCTTTTGGGTGAGGGGAGGGGACAGGTCTCACTCTGTCCCCCAGGTAGGAGTGCAGTGGTGCAATCACAGCTCACTGCAGCCTCGACCTCCCAAGCTCAAATGATCCTCCTGCTTCAGCCCCCCAAGTAGCTGGGACTACACACATGCACCACCATGCCTGGCTAATTTTTGTAGAGACGGGGTTTTGCCATGTTGCCCAGGCTGATCTCCAACTCCCGGGCTCAAGAGATCTGTCCGCCTTAGCCTCCCAAAGTGCTGGGATTACAGGCATGAACCACCAGGCCTGACCTAAAACAAAATCTTTAAAGCTAGAAGTGATTTCTTCTATACGTTCCATTTTTTAAAAAATTCACCTCCTACTGTGAGCACAATACAAAAAAAAAATTTAACCTATTAATTCATCTAACCAAGATTTATTGTGTTCCTACTCTGAGCCAGGTCAAGTTGGCACTAAGAATGCAATGGTGAGACCAGGCACGGCAGCTCATGTCTGTAATACCAGGACTTTGGGAGGCTGAGGTGGGTGGATCACCTGACGTCAGGAGTTCGAGATCAGCAACTATCTCAGACAGCAGATCTCAGCAGTGAGAAGTCTCCCGAACTGAAAAATATCTAGGCTGAGCTGCAGTGAGAAGGCTTGACGGGGAGAATCTGGGAGAAGTTTCATGTGGTTTCTGGAATACAGGACAAAGGCTTGGAGGGGCGAGGCACAGTGGCTCATGCCTGTAATCCTAGCACTTGGGAAAGCGGAGGCAGGCAGATTGCCTGAGGCCAGAAGTTCAAGACCAACCTGGCCAACATAGTGAGACTCACCTCTCTATTTATATTTAATCATATTATATGATAATGAAATGGTTTGGACCTGTATTCCCACTCAAATCTCATGTCGAGTTGAAATCCTCAATGTTGTAAGGGGGGCCTGGTAGGAGGTGATCAGATCATGGGGGTGGTTTCTAATGGGTTTGCACCATCCCCCTAGTGCTGATCTCATGATAGAGTTCTCAAGAGATCTCCATGGCTGTTTAAAAGTGTGTGAGCGGTGGTTCCTGCCTGTAATCCCAGCACTTTGGTGGGTGGATCACTTGCGGTCAGGAGTTTGAGACTAGCCTTGGTAACAAGATGAAACCCCATCTCTACTAAAAATACCAAAATTAGCTGGGCGTGGTGGTGGGCACCTGTAATCCCAGCTACTTGGCAGGCTGAGGCAGGAGAATCGCTTGAGCCCAGGAGGCAAAGATTGCAGTGAACCGAGATTGCGCCACTGCACTCCAGCCTGGGCCACAGAGTGAAACTCCATCTCAAAACAAAACAAAAATTGTGTGACACCTCCCCCCACCATTATTTCTGCTCCATCCACGTAAGACACGCCTGCTTCCCCTTCCCCTTCCATCACAGCTGTAAGTTCCCTGAGGCCTCCCCAGCCATGCTTCCTGTATAGCCTGCAGAACCATGAGCCAATTAAACCTCTTTTCCTTATAAATTACCCAGCCTCAGGCATTTGTTTCTAGCACTGTGAGAATGGACTAATACCGACAATATAAAAAATATTTTTAGGCCGGGAGTGGTGGCTCAAGCCTGTAATCCCAGCACTTTGAGAGGGTGAGGCAAGCCGATCACCTGAGGTCGGGAGTTCAAGACCAGCCTGGCCAACATGGTGAAACCCTGTGTCTACTAAAAATACAAAAATTAGCTGGGTGTGGTGGTGCACATCTGTAATCCCAGCTACTTGAGAGGCTGGGGCAGGAGAATCGCTTGAACCTGGGAGGCAGAGGTTGCAGTGAGCCGAGATTGCACCACTGCATTCCAGCCTGGGTGACAAAGCAAGAATCCATCTCAAAATAAATAAACAAATATTATTAAGTTAAGGCTTGGAGGGAGTAGAGAGACAGAAGCGGGGAAGGTAAACGGGAGAGACAAAAGGCGAGACCAGAGATTTAAGCAAGTGCCAACTCACACAGGATTTTGTAAACAACATAACCCAGGATATTCCAAGAGAAAAGAGCAAGGAGAAGCTATTAAAGCCATTGAAGGCTTTGGGGATGGGGGGAAGTACAACAGACTGAATGTTTATGTTCCCCTAAAATTCATAAATTGAAATCTTAGCCCTCAAGGGGATGGTATTGGGAAGTGGGGCCTTTAGAAGGTGACTAGGTCATGAGGGTCAAGCCCTCATGGATAAAATTAGTGCCTTTAGGGTCGGGCGCTGTGGCTCATGACTGTAATCCCAGCACTTTGGGAGGCCTAGGCAGGCGGATCACCTGAGATCGGGCATTCAAGACCAGCCTGACCAACATGGACAAACCCCATCTCTACTAAAAATACAAAATTAGCCAGGTGTGATGGCGCATGCCTGTAATCCCAGCTATTGAAGAGGCTGAGGCAGGAGACTCGCTTGAACCCGGGAGGCGGAGGTTGCGGTGAGTCAAGATCGTACCATTGCACTCCAGCCTGGGCAACAAGAGTGAAACTCCGTTTCAAAAAAAAAAAAATTTAATGCCTTTATAAAAGAGATTCTGGCCAAGCATGGAGGCTCACAAATGTAATCCCTGCACTTTGGGAGGCCAGACTGGGAGAATCACTTGAGCTAAGGAGTTTGAGACCAACCTGGGCAATATGGTGAAACACTGTCTCTATTACATTTTTTTTTTTTTTAATAGCAGGGTGTTGTGGTGAATGCCTGTAGTCCCAGTGACTATGCACGAGGCTAAGACAAGAGGATTGTTTGAGCCCAGAAGTTTGAGGCTGTCGTGAGCCATGATCACACCACTGTACTTCAGCCTGGGTGACACAGCAAGACCCTATCTCAAAAGAGAGAGAGACGGCCAGGCGCGGTGGCTCATGCTTGTAATCCCAGCACTTTGGGAGGCTGAGGTGGGAGGATCACTTGAGGTCAGGAGTTCAAGACCAGCCTGGCCAGCATGGTGAAACCCTGTCTCTACTAAAAATACAAAAATTAGCTGGGCCTGGTGGTGCATGCCTATAGTCCCAGCTACTCAGGAGGCTGAGACAGGAGAATTGCTTGAACCCAAAAGGTAGAGGTTGCAGTGAGCTGAGGTGGAGCCACTGCACTCCAGCCTGGGTGACAGAACGAAACTCTGTCTCAAAAAAAAGAGAGAGAGACCCAGAGAGATCCCTTGCCCCTTTCTCCATGGGAGGTTTTAGCAAAAAGACAGCCATCTATGAACCAGGAGACAGTCCTCACCAGAAACTGAATCTGTCAGCCTTAATCTTGGACATCCCAGCCTCCAGAACTATGAGAAATAAATTTCTTTTGCTGATAAGCCACCGGTGTGTGATATTTTGTTACAGCAGCCCAAATGGACTAAGATGTGGGGTGGGCAGGGAGTCTTGAGGGACAGGTTTGGCATCATCAAATTTGCTTTAGAAATATTATTTTCAGGCTGGGCGTAGTGGCTCATGCCTGTAATCCCAGCACTTTAGCAGGCCAAGGCCAGAGGATCACTTGAGGTCAGGAGTTCAACACCAGCCTGGCCAACATGGCGAAGCCCCATCTCTACTAAAAAATACAAAAATTAGCCGAGTGTGGTGGCACACACCTGTAGTCCCAGCTACTCTGGAGGCTGAGGCAAGAGAATTGCTTGAACCCAGAAGGCAGAGGTTGCAGTGAGCCGAGATCGCAACACTGCACTCCAGCCTGAGCAACAGAGAGAGACTCTGTCTCAAAAAAAAAGGAATTTTTCTTTACTCAGAAAAATTAATTATAGATTAGTTTCCATTATTTTGATTACTTTCCAATCATACATATCTTATCAATTTCTATTGTTCGTTGTTAGGGTAGTTGGACAAATATTTGAGAAACGGTAAGGATAATAAAACTAATTGTAGAATGCTATTAAGTTTACAAAGCACTTAGTCATGCTTTTACTGCATTTACTTAGGAGGCAGATGGTATAGACAGATTTGCACCTGGTGCCACCATTCTTCTGCCCTGTGTCCATGGAAGGCACTGGTAATTGATCACGGTACAAGCTCCTGATGTCTCAGACACAATCTCAGAATCCTTCTCAACACAAATTTCCAGGCAAGCAGTGTCATCTGCTTAAGTTGTCACTTGATGAAAAATTATATTTGCCATCCTAAAATGGTTTAAAGCACCCACATTGTGGAATTATAACAACTTGATTGAAATCCACGACTTCCACCTTAATACTAGATCTAAGTTACTTGACTTCTGCTTTTGAGTTGGGAGGGTGTGTGTGTGTGTGTGTATGTGTATGGTTTTTGTTTCATTTTTTTTTTGAGACAGAATCTCACTCTGTTGCCCAGGCTGAAGTGCAATGGCGTGATCTCAGCTCACTGCAACCTCTGCCTCCTGGGTTCAAGCAATTCCCCTGCCTCAGCCTCCTGAGTAGCTGAGATTACAGACATGCATCGCCACGCCCAGCTAATTTTTGTATTTTAGTAGAGACAGGGTTTAACCATGTTGGCCAAGCTGGTCTCGAACTCCTGACTTCAAGTGATCCACCCGCCTCTGCCTCCCAAAGTGCTGGGATTACAGGCATGAGCCACCTTGCCTGGCTGGTTTTCGTTTTTTGTTTTTGGGGGTTTTTTTTGAGACATTCTCGCCCTGTTGCCAAGGCTGGAGTGCAGCACCACGATCACAGCTCACTGCAGCCTTGACCTCTTGGTCAAGTGATCTTCCCAGCTCAGCCTCCTGAGTAGCTGGGACTACTGGAATGTGCTACCACGTACAACTAATTTTGTTTTATTTTTGAAGAGCCAGGGTCTCACTATGTTGCCCAGGCTGGTCTCGAACTCCTGGACTCAGGCAATCCTCCTGCTTCAGCCTCCCAAAGTGCTGGGATTACAGTCATGAGCCACCATGCCCAGCTAGTTTTCTCATTTTAAAATTAGACATAAAGACATGTAACAGAGGGCTGCTCTAACTAAATTAAGAAGCAGCAAACTATGAAATTTTACCATCTATGTATTTAACTATACCAATTCAACGATCCTGCCTTGGCAAGAGAGAGTAAGAGAAAGATAGGAATTAGTAACAATTCCACTCAATGTGCATGCACCCCAGAGCACGTATGGGATGGGCGACACCTTCCCTAGCAATGGTTATTAGTCTCAGTTTCAGAGTGTCTCTCACAGAATAAGAGGTTCACCCAGTGAGAGTGGGTCTGTTGTTCGAAGGGACATATTTTCCAAAACACATGGCCCCCAAATGCAAGCCAAGAGCATTATATATTGCTTAAATGAAGGACCAGCAGTCTATCTCTAGAGAAAAAAAACTAGCTAGGAGGTCCTCCCTAAGGATATAACAGATATGTTCCTAATGGATTTAAATATGGCCAAAGGCTGGGTGTGGTGGCTCACACCTGTAATCCCAGCACTTTGGGAGGCCAAGGCCGGTGGATCACCTGAGGTCAGAAGTTCAAGACCAGCCTGGCCAACATGGCGAAACCCTGTCTCTACTGAAAATGCAAAAATGAGCCAGGCATGGTGGTGCATGCCTGTAACCCCAGCTACTCGGGAGGCTGAGGCAGGAGAATTGCTTGAACCTGGGAGGCAGAGGTTGCAGTGAGCAGAGATTGTGCCACTGCACTCCAGCCTGGGCAAAAGAGTGAGACTCCATCTCAAAAAAATAAATAAATAAAATAAAAATTAAAAATGAATATGGCCAAAAAAATCTTTCAAATTCCTCTTCCAATTAGGCTGTAAATATCTAAATAAGCCACCAGTTTTGCTGTAAAGATGGGGGAAAACAGATAAAGTAAAATATCATACTGATTTTTCAGATGTCTATAAAATAGTCTAAAGGAACTAAATTCTAGAGAAAGAGGACAAGGCTTCATAGGTAGGAAAAATTAGGGATCATTGGGGGCATTTGCCAAGTCTGGGCATGGGCAGGCAGAGGATGGGCCCTGCCACAGAGGATGGGGCTCTCCTTGGCTAAGAAGAAACCACTGATTCTTTAAACATCTCTACGGGCTGGAGCAACAGATGGAAATATCTAAGAACTCAAAACACAGTGCTAGTCTTCCATTTTTGCTAAGTGGGTTACAGTGCAGGAGGCTGGGTCTTCTGTCTTCCTCATTGAAAGACAGACAGAAAACTCCACTAATTCTTCATGCTCAGGTCCAAAATTCCACTAGAAGAAGGGGCCCACAAGACACGCAGATCACATCTTGCCCTTAAGACATTTAAAATCCAGGTGAACAAAAACTAACTAAATCTGCAATTCATCCAACCCCAATTCAGCTCCACTGTTGATTGGATCTGACTGATCAAGCTCCTCATCCTAATTGACTGGCAAGAGGAAAGGGCTTGCCCTCTCCAGGGAAAAAAATATTTACTTCCGTCACTTTGGTTCTTTACAATGTCTAGAATACAGTATCTAGCTAGACACAATATCTGGCATAAAATTAAAAATTATGAGATGCAAAGAAGCAGGAAAATGTGATGCATAATCAAGAGAAAAAACAATACATGCAGATTCTTATATGATTGAGATGCTGGAACTCACAGATAAGGACTTTATGATAATTACTATAAATATGTTAATGAAATTAGAGCATAAAATAGACAAAATGATAAGAAGATGAAGATTTTTTTTTTTTTTTTGGAGACAGAATTTCACTCTTGTCGCCCAGACAGGAGTGCAATGGCATGATCTCGGCTCACTGCAACCTCCACCTCCCGGGTTCAAGCAATTCTCCTGCCTCAGTCTCCCCAGTAGCTAGGATTACAGGTTCCTGCCACCACACCCAGCTAATTTTGGTATTTTTAGTAGAGATGGGGTTTCACTGTGTTGGCCAGGCTGGTCCTGAACTCCTGACTTCAGGTGATCCACCTGTCTTGGCCTCCCAAAGTGCTGGGATTACAAGCATGAGCCACTGTGCCAAGCCAACAAGATGCAGATTTTCAACAGAAAAATACACTCTCTTTAAAAAGATAGCTGGACGTGGTGGTGTGCACCTGTGGTCCCAGCTACTTGGGGGCGCTGAGGTGGGAGGATCCCCTGAGCCCAGGAGGTTGAGGCTACAGTGGGCTGCGCTCGCACCCTATACTCCATCCTGGGTGACAGAGCAAAAGCCTGTCTCAAAAAATTAAAAAAGAGAGAAATCCATTAATCTGGGGATCAAGTGTACTAACACTAAGGTGAGATGCAATCTCAGGATAAGACTTTGGAGTATTGTTTACCATATATACATTTTGTTTGTTTGTTTGTTTGTTTGTTTGTTTGAAACGGAGTCTGGCTCTGTCACCCAGGCTGGAGTGCAGTGGCGCCATCTCGGCTCCCTGCAGCTCCCTGCTTCCCAGGTTCAAGTGATTCTCGGGCCTCAGCCTCCTGAGTAACTGGGATAACAGGTGTGTGCCACCATGCCCTGCTAATTTTTTGTATTTTTACAGTATCTCATTGTGTTGGCCAGGCTGGTCTTGAACTCCTGACCTCAAGTGATCTGCCTGCCTCGGCCTCCCAAAGTGCTGGGATTGCAGGCATAGGCCACCACGCCCAGTCACTATATCTAATTTTTACTGGTTTCCAGAAAGAACTAATCGTGCTGTTCCAAGAAGTGAAGTTAGCCAACAGGATCTACTTCCTCTTTCAATCCAAGGCCACGCTCCTCCCAGACAACCCCAGCCAACGACAGAACACAACAGGGGTACTAGGGCCTAACCATTTCTGTTCCAAAGAGCCATCTTCACTCCAGGGCTTCCTGTTGGGTTGGCCAAGACGTTGTCAGATCTGCAGTACGGTCTGGGGCTCTCCCTGCTCAATCCTGCTTCTTCTCCGTTTTACCTTTCTCAGGCATTACCTCCAATAAACCTCTTAACTCTGGCTCAGCATCTAATTCTGAGAAGAACCAACAGACACACATGGCTTTAGAACTCAACCTGTGGACTGGCCTCCCAAAGTGCCTGTAATCCCAGCACTTTGGGAGGCCGAGGCATGTGGATCACTTGAGGTCAGGAGCTCCAGACCAGCCTGGCCAACATGGTGAAAACCCGTCTCTACTAAAAATACAAAAATTAGGTGGGTGTGGTGGTGCATGCCTGTAATCCCAGCTACTTGGGAGGCTGAAGCACGAGAATCGCTTGAACCCAGGAGGTGTAGGTTGCAATGAGCCGAGATCATGCCACTGCACCCCAGCCTGGGCCATAGAGTGAGACCCTGTCTCAAAAAGAAAAAAATTCAACCTGTGTAAGATGTGTCTCCTCCAATGTGTGTAAGATGACTGACCCAATACCAAGCACAAAGTAGACTTTGTGTACTTTACAAAGTATACAATACCAGTAGATGTTAGATATCTTTGCCTTTTGCATCATTTAGGATATGTGTTTGCTGGTCAGGAGAGACTCAAAATAACACTGCCACAAATAGTGTCACAAAATTCCTGGACTTCTAGCTGATCCTGTGAAATAGTCAGATAAGTGAGTAAAGCCATCTTGGACCCTCTAGACCAGGCAAGCTGCCCTCAATGATTCCAGTTGAGGCTACACGGAACTGAATTGCTTAGTCAAGCCTGATCCATGAAATTGAGAGGTATAATAAAGTGATAATTGTTTTAAGTCACTGAATTTGGGGGTGGTTCCTATAAACAGAACACATCTCCTAACTAATACAGAGACAAAAACTTACCTTAAAAGTTTATATCTAGGCCGGGCATGGTGGCTCACGCCTGTAATCCCAGCACTTTGGGAGGCCGAGACGGGCGGATCACGACGTCAGGAGATTGAGACCATCCTCGTTAACACGGTGAAATCCCTTCTCTACTAAAAATACAAAAAATTAGCTGGGCATGGTGGCGAGCACCTGTAGTCCCAGCTACTTGGGAGGCTGAGGCAGGAGAATGGCGTGAACCCAGGAGGTGGAGCTTGCAGTGAGCCGAGATCGCGCCACTGCACTCCATCCAGCCTGGGCGACACAGCGAGACTCCATCTCAAAAAACAAACAAACAAACAAAAAATTTTATCTAATACCATGGTACCATAGCATTTGGAAATTACTGCTTTCCTCCTTTATTTTCATATGTTGTTTGTTTTTTTTCCTTTTAAGAAAGTCTTTATACTCACACAATTCTGTATTCAGCTTTTTTACTTACATATTATTTCAAAAGCAAGTGCCTGTTTTTGCTACATAAACTTAGTTTTTAATAGGGCCATTTTACATGGAAAGTTTGCCTTTTTGAGATAGAATTCACATATCATAAAATTCACTCTTTTTTTTTTTTTTTTTTTTTTTTTGCGATGGAGTCTTGCTCTGTCGCCCAGACTGGAGTGCAGTGGCGTGATCTCGGCTCACTGCAACCTCTGCCTCCCAAGTTCAAGCAATTCTCCTGCCTCAGCCTCCTGAGGAGCTGGGATTACAGACGCCCGCCACCACGCCCAGCTAATTTTTTTTGTATTTTTAGTACTACGTTGGTCACGTTGGTCTCGAACTCCTGACCTCGTGATCTGCCCACCTCAGCCTCCCAAAGTGCTGGGATCACAGGCTTGAGCCACCGCGCCCGGCCCTAAGTTCACTTTTTAAAGTATACAATTTAGTGGGTTTTCGTATATCCACAAAGCCATGCAACCATTATCATTATATACTTCCAGACATTTTCTTTTTTCTTTCCCTTTTTGAGATGGAGTTTCACTCTTGTTGTCCAGACTGGAGTGTAATGGCACTATCTTGGCTCACAGCAGCCTCCGCCTCCCGGATTCAAGCTATTCTCCTGCCTCAGCCTCCCAAGTAACTGGGATTACAGGCGTGCGCCACCACGCCTGACTAATTTTTTTGTGTTTTTAGTAGAGACGGGGTTTCACCATGTTGGCCAGGCTAGTCTTGACCTCCTGACCTAAGGCGATCCACCAGCCTCGGTCTCCGAAAGTGCTGGGATTACAGGCACAAGCCCCTGTGCCCATCCTACTTCCAGACATTTTTATCACCCCAGAAAGAAACCCTGCGCCCCTTGGTAGTGACTTCCCATTCCTACTCCTCACCCCCATGTCCCAGCCCCTTGCAGCCACTAATCTACTAATATTTTCTGCCTCTGTGGATTTGCCTGTTCTTGGTGTTTCTTTTTTTTTTTTTTTTTTTTTTTTTTTTGAGACAGAGTCTCGCTCTGTCGCCCAGGCTGCAGTGCCTCTCGAGTAGCTGGAATTACAGGCATGAGCCACTGACAGTGAGCTTATCCTTTTTCCATCTGTAACAATTTCCAAATGTACACCTCCATTTCAGATCTCCTGACTTTTAGGGTCATACCAATTATGAAATAGACGCAATTGCTTGGTGTCCCAACAGGCACTTCCAGCTCAACAAGTGCAAAATTATTTGCATCTATTAGTATTTCCATCCTCCCCCCAAATAAACTTCCTTTTATCCGTTCTCCTTATGCTCATCACTAGCCCTAGGACTGACCTAGGTGTTCAGTCCTGGAACTAGGAGTCCTTATCTGGCTACACCCAATCAGTCACCAATCTGTTAGATTCTACTTTATGTTTTGCAACTCATGGTTTCCTGCACCCTAGGGCGGCAGGAACTATGTATAATGCAGCTGATCAGTTGGTAGCCCCTAGTGTAATATGCACATTAATCTCCGTTTCATGTACTAGAAACAAGGTTGAGAACCGTGACACATTTTATGACCATCGCAGGCTTCCTAAAGATCCAAAATCCATTGTTGCTTCCCTGCTTAAGAGCTCCCGGCAACCTGCAGAAAAACTAAATTCTTCCCCATTCATGTTTTCAGCAGTAGAAGCTCTAGAATTTCTACACTTGAGGAGCTATGGGGTAAGAAAGAAGATCTGGAGGATTTGCGAGGCTTGTCCAAAGCAATTCCCAGCTAGTACACTGTTTTTTCCTTATATTTGTCTTTACTTTATGAGGCTAGGGGATGGCTGTTGGACAATATGGGAGAAACAAAGCCCTCAACCCTCACCACCTTTGGTGTGGCCACTGCTATCCACTATAACTCCTAATATACTCTGCATTCTTTAGGCTGTGGCCACACTGAATTGCTTACTTTCCAGAATGCATCTCACTCTTCCTCCTGTAATCACTCCATCTCCTGTTTGATCTGAAAGCTTCTTAATCCCATCTCTATTTCAGGCAAGATTTGAAGTCCCCCTCATACCATAGACAAAAATTGGCTCAAAATAAATCAAAGACCTAAATGTAAGAGCTAACACATAAAACTTAGAAGCAAACATTATGGGTAAATATTTGTATCCTGGATTAGGCAATGCTTTATTGCATATGACACCAAAAGTGCAAACAACAACAACAACAAAAATGAATAAACTGGACTTTATAAAAATTAAAAACTTTTGTGCTTCAAAGGACACTATCAAGAAAGTGAAAAGACAACCAATCCGCTGAATAAGAGAGACTATTTACAAATTATAGATCTGATTAGGGACTTGTATCTAGAATATATAAAAGAACTCTTGCCACTCAACAATAAAAAGAAAAATTGCCCAATTTAAAAGTGTTTAGCTGGGTGTGGGGCTCAACGCCTGTAATTCCAGCACTCTGGGAAGCCAAGGCGAGAGGATCACTTGAGTCCAGGCATTTGAGACCAACCTGGGCAACATGGCAAGGCCCTGTCTCTACAAAAAAATACAAAAATTATCTGGGCATGGTGGTTTGCACCTGTGGTCCCAGCTACCTGGGAGGCTGAGGTGGAGGATTGCTTGAGCCCAGGAAGGTTGCAGTGAGCCATGATAGGGCCACTGCATTCCAGCCTGGATGACAGAGTGGCACCCTGTCTCAAAAAGATACACAAATGGCGGGGTGCGGTGGCTCACGCCTGTAATCCCACCACTTTGGGAGGCCAAGGAGGGCGGATCACCTGAGGTCGGGAGTTTGAGACCAGCCTGACCAACATGGAGAAACCCCCACTCTACTAAAAATACAAAATTAGCCGGGCTTGGTGGTGCATGCCTGTAATCCCAGCTACTAGGGAGGCTGAGGCTGGAGAATCTCTTGAACCCGGGAGGCGGAGGTTGCGGTGAGCCAAGATCACGCCACTGCACTCCAGCCTGAGCAACAAGAGCGAAACACCGTCTCAAACAAACAAACAAAAAAAGATAGACAATAATAGGTGTTGGTGAGGCTGTGGAGAAAATTGGAGCCCTCATACAATTGCCAGTGGAAATGTAAAATAGTGTAGCTGCTTTGGAAAACAGTTTGACAGTTCCTCAAAAAGTTAAACTCTGAGTTACCATATGGCTCAACTACTTCATTCTTAGGAGGATTGAAAACACATGTTCCCACAAAAACTTGTTCATAGAGGTACTCATGGATATTTATAATAGCAGAAGTGAAAACAACCCAAATGTTCATCAACTGATAAATGGATAAACAAAATATGGTATGTCCATACAAAGGGATATTATTTAGCCTTGAAAGAATTTCCGGGCACGGTGGCTCACGCCTGTAATCCCAGCACTTTGGGAGGCCAAGGCAGGTGAACACTTGAGGCCAGGAGTTCAAGACCAGCCTGGCCAACATGGTGAAACCCATCTCTACTAAAAATACAAAAAATCAGTCAGGCGTGGTGGCATGCGCCTGTAATCCCAGCTACTCGGGAGGCTGAGGCAGGAGAATCGCTTGAACAGAGGAGACAGAGGTTGCAGTGAGCCGAGATGGCACCATTGCACTCCATCCCGAGTGACAGAGTGAGACTGTCTCAAAAAAACAAAAACAAATAATTCAACTTCCTCGCATGGACCTTGTACTGAAACAGGGATTTCCAAACCTTTCTTTGTAGCCACTGTGCACCAGCCCCATCAGAGCTCTGTCTCTCTCCTGTGTCCCTCTCTTATGATGCCAGGCTTCTCGCCATTTGCTCACTCAGCTCACCGTCCTGCCTGTGCTCTGCCTTCATCCTGCTGTTCATTCATGCAGCAAATATTAACTGAGCAGCTGCCCTGAGCCACGTGCTGTTACTAGGCCCCTGATGATACGGCAGCAACCAAAACAACATCACTATCTCAAAATGTTTACATTCTAGTGAAGGAGACAGATACATACAAATAATTAAACAGACATACTTGAGAGAGATACATGCTATAAAGAAAATACAAGCTGAGTTAAGGAGATGAGTGGTATTATTTTAAACAAGGCTGTCAGGGACGTCATCTCTGGAGGTGATGCTTGAGCAGAGACTGGAATAAAGTGCTCAAGTACTGGTTGAATTAGACGCGACTGGAACAGAACGAGAAGCTAAATCATGTATATCCTTAGACACCAAAGTCTGGTTTTCTCTCTGTGTAACATGGGATCAGTAGAGTGAGTAGAGGAAGGACATGATCTGAGTTAGATTTTTTTTTTTTTTTTTGAGACGGAGTCTCGCTCTGTCGCCCAGGCTGGAGTGCAGTGGCACAATCTCGGCTCACCACAACCTCCGCCTCCTGGGTTCAAGCAATTCTCCTGCCTCAGCCTCCCAAGTAGCTGAGACTATAGGCGCGCGCCACCACGCCTGGCTAATTTTTTTATATTTTTAGTAGAGACGGGGTTTCACCATGTTGGCCAGGCTGGTCTCGAACTCCTGACCGGTGATGCGCCCGCCTCGGGCCCCCAAAGTACTGGGAGTACAGGCGTGAGCCACTGCGCCCAGCCCTGAGTTAGATTTTAAGAAGATCTCTCTGGCTGCTGTATTGAGAATAAAGTACTGGGGGCAAGAGTTGACACAGAGGCAACTTTTAGAAGGCTACTGCAATAATTCAGCCCGAGTAATCGTGGCTTGTGGGAGAAGTGTAGGAATGGAGATGAGAAGTCAGATTTAGGATATATTGTGTATACATAACGGAGAGGTGTAGTCAGAACAGATGTGGAAGCAAGACAGGGCAAGGCTGACTCACGGCTTTTAGTCTGAGCAGCTGAGTAAAAATGGTACCGTTTACATCAAATAGGGAACGGTGGTGAAGGAGCAGGTTAGAGGGGAAACAGGGAGCATGGCTTTGGACCCTTAACGTTTGAGATTCGACAGAAACCCTGGTTCACGGAATTGATCCAAGCTACATACTGATAATTGGGATTAGTGAGTTACAATGGCGTTGCAAGCCATGAAACTGGTTCAGACCGGCTGAATGAGCGGGACAGGAAGGGGCTGAAACACTTGAGTCCTTGTGAGAGCCCCAGCTCCAGGGGCAGCCTCGGGGGAAGCTCCCCGGGCGATGACTGCGGTAATGGAGCCGTAGGAGCTCCACGAGGTGCAGGTTCAGCGTCTTAGAAGGATGAGCAGCGGCTCGCCACAGCTCGGAGGCGGGTGGGCAGCGCTCCAGGCCGAGGGCCCCGCGTCGGCAAAGACACAGGACCCACGACAAGGCGGCCACGGCCTGAGTCAAAAGGAAGGCCGCGCGCCTCCTCTCCAGCCCGCAGCAAGCGGGTGCCACGAGGCACTCAGCCGGTCCCCGAAGTTCCTCTCACGCGGCCCCAAGACCACCACCGTAGTCCAGGCCAACAAGCGCTGCCGGGACTCCCGAGGCCACGAATGAGCCGGGAGCCACCAGTAGCCGGCCAAGTCTCGCGAGAGCGCGGCCTCGCCCTCCCAGCATGCCCCGCGCCGCCGCCGCTGCCGCCGCCGCCGCCGCCGCCGCGCCGCGGCTTGAGGGCGGGAGGCTGGGGGAGGGTAGCGGAGCCGGCGCCGCCGCCATGTTGGGTCTGAAGCGGCTGCTGTAGGCGCCGACGGAGCGAGCGGGCGTGCGGAGCGGGCGACAGTGGCGTGGGATCTGCCTCTCTGCGAGCAGCTGGGAGCGGCGGCGGCGGCGCCATGAGCGGGGGCACCCCTTACATCGGCAGCAAGATCAGCCTCATCTCCAAGGCGGAGATCCGCTACGAGGGCATCCTCTACACCATCGACACCGAAAACTCCACCGTAGCCCTTGCCAAAGGTACGCGGGACCGGGCCTCAGGGTGGGGGCCGAGCCGGGCGCCGCTCGGGGCTGCTCCCCGCTCCGGCCCGCGGCCTCCTCGTTCCCTCCCCTCCCTCCGTCGAGCTCCGGGAGGCCTCTCGCCTCCCTTCTCCGGGCCCCGGCGTCGCGGGCCGGACCGCGGCCTCCCCGCGGCTCCCTGGTTTCCGCCCCCCGGAATGTCCGCGCCTGAAGCCCGGGGAACTACGGGACTGAGTGCGCGGCGGGCGGCCCTGAAGTCCGAGAACGGGCCGGAGAACACGGAGAAACGCGTCTTCCAACTCCGAAATTCGGGGCTTCTGCCGTCTTAGCACAAAACAAAGCCGGAGTATTCAAAGAATTTTTCCGCCCAGCTTGAGTTCATCGCGGATGCGTTGACTACACAGCACCCATTTTCTCACTTTGTTCATTTCAATTCGTGGCGATCTTCCTCTGGTGAACTCTTGAGTAATGTGCTAAAACTTTGGGTTTGCTCTGCGACGCAGACATTCTCGAAATGCCATCGATGCCGTGGAGCAGATCCCATCTCCCTCGGCTCATCCTCTGTTGGTATTTACCTGTTAAACCGGAATCCTCAAAGCCTGTTGTGCAACCACCTCATTAGGGCGCGTGGTAAAAATGCTTGCTGCTGCCCCGACGCCCCTGTTTCTGGAAACGGGTTCAAGCTTGATCCAGGATCCTTCTTGACCAGGCAAGCTTGACCTTTGATCCAGGCTCAGTGGGCGTTGACTGATCCCTCTGGAGGCTCTCTGGGAAAGGGAATTCGGCCGAGAAGGAAGGTGCCCCTACCCACAGTGTTAATATTTGGCATCCCTAGAGTCTGTGTGGGTTTTGTTTCCGTTCACACGTGCAGGGCCTTTGCTCCGCCAGGAAACCAGAAAGAAAATAAACTTTAGCTCCTGAATCTTAAAGGAAATCTCACAACAGTGTAAAATACTTTGAGGGAAGCTAGATAACCTAGGTGATTTTCCCAGCACTTCTGGTAGAGGTGGGAACTGCATAGCATGGTTAGGGACCCTGTGGATAGGTTAGGTCCAAGGATAAAGAAGAAGATTTTCGAAATCTGTAAAATTTTAAAAATCGTTAACAGATAGGGGAGTGGTTTCACGGGATCAAGTATTTAATAATATTTCTTGGATGCTCTGGTAAATCCTTTATTTATTTATTTATTTATTTATTTTTCTAAGATGGAGTTTAGCTCTTTTTGCTCAGGCTGGAGTGCAAAGGCAATGATTTCGGCTCACTGCAACGTCCGCCTCCCGGGTTCAAGTGATTCTCCTGCCTCAGCCTCCCAAGTAGCTGGGATTATAGGCGCCTGCCACCACCCCTAGCTAATTTGGTATTTTTAGTAGAGACGGGGTTTCACCATGTTGGCCAGGCTGGTCTCGAACTCCTGACCTCAGGTGATCCACCCGCCTCGGCCACCCAAAGTGCTGGGATTACAGGCATGAGCCACCGCGCCCAGCCTCTGGTAAATCTTTTTAATAGCCCTGGTGTTGGGACAAATCTTATACCTGGGTAGGGAACCTTTTGATGTTACAGAACTGTACACCATAAAGGAGTAGTATGAGATGGTGATAGTTGCACAACTCTGCAAATTTGCTGAAGATCATTGAATTATACACTTTTTAAAATCACCAAGTCTAATTTTAAAAGTAGTATGAAAAACCAGGGAGTACCCCCACATTTCCCTCTTCACCTTGTGAAACATTATGCAGTGACACATTACCTCATTAAAACACCTGTAGACTTGGCGGTTAGAAATCGGCTATAGGATGTATGATGGATGGTATTTGGTGTTTATTAAAGACTTTCCCAGTGATGCTTCTTAAGTAACTTAGTTTTTGCTTGGCCTTATTTTGAATTTATTTTTATATTTTTTATACAATAGTTACTTAGCTGTATAGTGTTTTTCTGGCTTTTTGAAATTATGAAAAAGCCTCTCTTTATGAAATTATGAAAAGTGCTGGGTGAGAGCCAGATATGGGTTGAAAATAATTTCTCATTAAAGTGGTTTAATAAATTTGTTTTAAAGTATTGCTTTACCTAATCTGAATTTAAAAGTGTCTTGCCAGCTTAGTGACTCAATAAGTTGGCTGTGTTACCTTTATTCCTCACAAAGAAAAAAAATACATTTGAAAATTTTAAAGTATTTTTGTTCTTTTTTAAAAACTACGAACATATCCTTTTATGCAGGAACCCCAAAAGTCTACATTTTAACAACCCACATTTTAAAAAACTTTTCAGCAGCTTTTAGAGTCAGTATTTCATTAGTCTGTAATAGTTAAATTCATATGACATAATGACATAAAATATAAATTTGTTCTTTGTGTCATGACTTGATAAATATATGAATATAGCAGTGAAAAATTTTTTTAATCATTGAATTTATGTTTGTACTCATGGCTTTGATATTTCATCCCACATCATTATATGCTTTTTCTTTTTCTTTTTTTTTTTTCTTTTTGAGATGGCGTCTCACTCTGTTGCCCAGGCCGGAGTGCAGTGGCACAATCCTGGCTCCCTGTAACCTCTGCCTTCCAAGTTCAAGCAATTCTCCTGCCTCAGCCTCCTGAGTAGCTGGGATTACTGGCGCGTGCCACCACGCTTGGCTAATTTTTGTATTTTTTAGTTGAGACAGGCTTTCACCATATTGGCCAGGCTGGTCTTGAACTCCTGACCTCAAGTGATCCACCTGCCTCAGCCTCCCAGAATGCCGGGATTACAGGCATGAGCCACCGCACCCGGCTGCTTTTTCTTAAGCAACATGAGTTAAATGTGTAACCAGTTTGGGGAATTTGATTATGTTCGCAAAAACTGACATTATCAAACCTTTATATATTAGTCTACATGATATTATCTAATCGAAAACTACATTATAACTGTCTAGTCAATACTGGACACATTTCAGATTTCAAGATTAGAAGCAAGGAGTTCAATCTTAAAATTTTAAAATTTACATGACTTGTTGAGTAATTCGATATCAGAAAATTTCACCTTCCATTTCAAAATTTGAACGAAGAATGGTAGTCTAAAAGATTAAAGCCAAAAGTGTTTGTTTTGTTTTGTTTTCGTTTTTTTTTGTTGTTGTTTTGAGACAGAGTCTTGCTCTTGCCCAGGCTGGAGTGCAGTGGTGCGATCTTGGCTCGCTGCAGCCTCCACCTCCCGGGTTCAAGCAGTTCTGCCACAGCCTTCCGAGTAGCTGGGACTACAGGCGCCCAACACAGCTGGCTAATTTTTGTATTTTGAGTAGAGACGGGGTTTCACCATGTTGGCCAGGCTGGTCTCAAACTCCTGACCTCAGATGATCCACCCACCTTGGCCTCCCAAAGTGCTGGGATTACAGGTGTGAGGCACTGCACCCGGCCTGAAGCCAAAAGTTTATTCATGGAATTTATAATACAGTGTGTATTTGGATGTAGAGATCCCTGTTACTGTTTTTAAACTATGGATTAAGAGTTAATCTCTTTGAGTAACAGTCTTAGCATTCTCTTTTGAACTTTTTTTTTTTTAATTTCTCAGGGAGAGTGTTATTGGGAAACCTAACTACACAGGCTGAAAAGATACATAAGATAAAAATGAAATATTTTTAAACAAACATCTTTGTAACCACCACCCAGGGCAAGACAGACATTGCCAGCATCCCAGAAGCCTCCCACCACCTATATTTTCCCATCACAACTATCACCATCTTAATTTAAGCTAGATATAAATGTTCTTCTGACATTTATAGTTTTACCATATAAGTTTACATCTCTAAATAATAGAGTTTAATTTTGCCCATTTTTAACTTTATGTAAATAGGATTGTGTTGTATATATTTTATTTTTAGCTTTTATTGTTTCATAATATTCCATCATGAATATAACACAAGTTTATTCCTTCTGCCATTGTTTTGGATATTGCATTTAGATTGTTTGCAGTTTGGGGCTATTATAAACAATGCTTTTATGAACATTTCTGTTTAAGTGCACTGGTGCATGTTTATTTCGTTTTCTTGAGATTATATACTTAGAATTTGAATTGCAAGAACATGGGGAATGTTGGTCTTTATCAGGTAATGCCAGGTAGTTTTTCAAAGTAGTTGTTTAGTGGTTTTTACTTCATTTATTAGTATGTAAGAGTTCTTGTTTCATATCCCTTACCAACAACCGTACGTGGTATCATATATTTCAATTCTAGCCAATCCTGGTGGGTATGTAGTTGTATTTAGTTTTAATCATTTCCCTCATTACTAAATGGGGCTGACCAGCTTTTCATATCTGGGTGTTTGGATTTCATTTTTCATAAAATGCCTTTGAAATCTTTTCCTTTTTTAAATCGAAACACGTCTTTTTCTAGAGTTCTGTATTCTGAATATATCTCCATTGTTGGATGTATATATTGCAAACATTTTTTCCATTTAGTAGTTTCTTTAAATTAACAGAAGTTCTTCATTTTAATGTAAACATGTTCATCAGTTTTTTATGGCTAGTGTTTCTTTTTTTAAAACATCATAGAGATACTTTGATTATCTTTAAACCTTTTTGTGCTTTGCTTTTTCACATTGACGTTTATAATGCATCTGAAATTGATTTTGTGTACAATGTGAGATATTCAGAGCTTTATATTTAGTAAGGGATTCACTTGGTTTATATTGTCCATATTATAATTTAGGGCTTGGATATTATAATTTAAATATATCTGGAACTATAAACTACTCTTGAAATTTTTGGCTATTTACATTTGATGTGGTATATAATTAGGGTAACCATATGGCCTAGTTTGCCCTGGTGGAAAGTCCTTGTTTGTGCCTGCTCTGGCATAATTATTAAAAACATCCCGGCTGGGCAGGGTGACTCAGGCCTGTAATCCCAACATTTCCAAAAGGTCAAGGCCGGGGTATTGCTTGAGCCCAGGAGTTCAAAACCAGCCTCGGCAATACAGGGAGACTCCATTTCTACAAAAAATTTTAAAAAGTGCATTAGCCAAGCATGGTGGCATGCATGTCTGTCGTCCCAGCCACTTGGGAGGCTGAGGCAGGGGGATTGCTTGAGCCCAAGAGGAGCTGTGATCATGCCACTGCACTCCAGCCTGAAACATAGAACAAGACCTTGTCTTAAAAAATAACAATGATAGCCTGTAATCCCAGCACTTCAGGAAGCTGAGGCAGGCGAATCACCTGAAGTCAGAAGCTCGAGACCAGTCTGGCCAACATGGCGAAACCCCGTCTCTACTAAAAATACAAAAATTATCTGGGCGTGCTGGTGCATGTCTGTAATCCCAGCTACTTGAGAGGCTGAGGCAGGAGAATTGCTTGAACCTGAAAGGCGGAGGTTAGAGTGAGCCAAGATCACACCACTGTACTCTAGCCTGGGCAACAGAGCGAGACTCTGTCTCAAAAAAAAAAAAAACACAAAATAATAATAATAATCTGTTTTCTCTTTTGAAAATGTTTCAGTGTGGATAAGTTATCACACCACATAATCAAAAGCCTAATTGCAGAGGTGCTGTGAAATGGTCGATGTGCCTTATTTTCTGCTAGAGATGTCACAGACTAGCTTTAGTTCTAGAAAGTGAAACAGGTAAGTTTGAGGGGCTTTGATCCTCGGAACCTAAGCATATGTCAAGAAGTCATAAAGGCAACCTAGAAAGGCTTTGATGTCAATCTGCTATGTATGTTTATAGATGATCTGTGTTGCAGTTTGTTTCTGCAGTTTGTTGCAGTTTGTAGTCTGTGTCACAGCTCTGAATTTATTTTCTTCTCAGCACTGATCATGACTTACACTTAATCTTCTTTGCTTATTTGCATATGTGTTTATTGTCTGTCTTCACCTTCCCCTTCACCTCCAGACTCTGAGCTCCTGGTATGAAAGGTTGTTTAGTTAGTGAGTAAATGGAAATGATTTAGCATTTTAGCTTATTGTTCTTGTAGAAGTATCTTGGGTATACCTCCAAATAATGCTTTTCCATGTTCACAATTGCATTTCCCTATAAAATTAAATTATCCTGCCTCACATTAAGAAATCTTGAAGAATTTCAGTGAGTAGGGATGCAAGAGGATGAAATCTAGTGACATAATTAACATTATTGGGGAGGTAAACTCTTTGTGACTCAAGCTCAATTATAATTTTCATTTAAAGTTTAAAGGAAGCCTCCATTCAGGGTGTAGGAAGAAATTACACAGTGGTGACATGTATGAATATTTTATGGAATAGTTCCAGTTGTGTTTGCACCTACGTCTA
Source organism: Homo sapiens (assembly GCF_000001405.40). Classification (NCBI taxonomy): domain Eukaryota; kingdom Metazoa; phylum Chordata; class Mammalia; order Primates; family Hominidae; genus Homo; species Homo sapiens. Next base: position 26,747 of record NW_003315963.1, read on the forward strand.
TAAGTGAGTAGGATGCCTAAATAGGCTAAAATGAATGAAATTCTTATAAAAAATAAATTCTTACATTTAGTTAGCTTACCTGGATAATCATTCAAATGGAAACCAGGTTGCTACTGCACTGGGAAAAGAGACTTTATGAAGAACGATTATATAAGCCACTTGCCTTTAAAATAAGTTGTTCTTAAAATCAAGAGATTGGTGGAAGAATAGAAAAACAAGTAAATTGTTAACAGATTTCTTTAATCATCTGCTAAGTCTGGCTCATTGGCATAATTTATCTACTTCTTGATGTTAGTCACATAGTCATAAACTATTACCTTATTGGAGAGAGTGGAAGAGCTTTGTGTGATGGATAAAATACTTGCGGGGTGCTTTATTTGATTTCTTGCATTACTTGGGGATCTAAATCTAGCAATTCACAAAATTACTATCTAAAATGACAAAGATCTAGTGAAACTTCAAGCCACAGTTTCTTTTTGTTGCCCTATTTAGTGATGTTGCCAGTACTTGGAGCCTTGGAAACAGTTTATTATTGTTACATAGTCCGCAGAAATACTTGGTAATTCTGGGAGTCTGAAGTCAGGTGCCAGAAACTGTTCATTTTCTAGTAGGGGTAAGTAAGGTAAGCCATGATTTTCTAAGTCGGAAGTAAAGAAAACAGCATAAAACTGAAGAAAAAAAATAGTAGAAGGAAGGAAGTAGGAAGAAAAAAGAAATCTTATCTGTGCATGATACATAGCAGGAGTTTTGTATTTAACTCAGTGCCACAGTAATAATAGCAGTAACTACAGATAGTTTAACTTGAATTTAATTATTCCGTGCTAGAAGATGCTTGCTATAGAAACAATTTGTCTTTCTCTCATGATGCTATAAAATAATATATTAATTAGCTGTTTTAAAAACTAGATACCATTGAAGTAAATTTTGTTGTTGTTGTTTTGAGACAAGAGTCTCACTCTGTTGCCCAGGCTGGAGTGCAGTGGCACGATCACAGCCTTGACCTCCCTGGGCTCAGGTAATCCTCCTGCCTCAGCCTCCCAAGTAGCTGGGACCACAGGCACACACCACCACACCCAGCTAATTTTCTGTTTTTTGTAGATACAGGGTTTTGCCATGCTGCCCAGGTCGGTCTCTAACTCCTGGGCTCAAGTGATCTGCCTGCCTTGGCCTCCCAAAGTGCTGGGATTACAGGTGTGAGCCACAGTGTCTGGCTTGAAGTAAGTTTTTTAGTGGACAAAGTGTGAGTTGGTCTGTAAAATAATTTATTCCCAAGGGCCTTATTCTAGTTTTGTAGGGTTTTTTGTTTGTTTGTTTTTTTCTGGAAGAAAATGCGACCCAAAATGCCAGTTGGAATACTTAGCAGCTTTTTGGTCTTGGACAAGTTATTTAACCTTAGCTTTAACTTCTTCATCTTTTCAATAGGGATGGATAATAATGCCCATCTTTCAGAGTCATTCTGATAATTAAATGAGGTGATATAAAAGAAGTAACTAGTTTAATGTTGGTGCTTAATAGAGAATAGCTGTCCCATGTTATTTCCCACCACGATCTCCCTCTCTGTCTAGGTGCTCAGTCTCTCTAGTAGCCCAACTCAGTCAGTCATTCACACCTACTGTAGTCTACTGTCATCTTACTGCCTTTCACTGTCCTCTCATTCCCCTCATAACTTTACTTCCTTCTTTATCCTGCTTCAACTCCATGAGCAACCACGACAGTCAGTACACATTCCCTCAGCCCCCACCCCATTCCCCTCTTGCTGTCTTATACAAGAAATCACAACCCTGATTATATCAACACAGATGTGCTGACCAGCCTCACTCTAAATTTATGTTCGCTAGCCTCCGCAGTCATGGTCACTTCCTAGCAGTCACACTATACTTCCATAATCCATTTCACTTTTCTACATGGCTATTCCATTCATTTTCCTCAAGCCTCCAACACCTCCCCCATATTCACTTTCAGCCCCTTAACCGTGCTTTCTATAGCAGTTAACTGAGAAAAGAACAGCAAACGAAAGATAATTTTGATAAACTTACCCCTCACATACCCAGTTACCTGCATCTGTTCCCCAGACTTCTATGTTTTTTTCTGATCAATATGGATAAACTGTTCTTATTTCTGTCTAAGACCACCCTTCCACTTGTGCAGCATTTGTCCCCTCTTGGTGATTCAAGAACATTGCTCCAGCAGTTCTCTACTCTCCTCAGTTTTTCCTTCCCTAACGTATCTTTCTGTCTGCTTACAGATAGGCAGTTATTTCTTCTACCTTAAGAACAACCAAAAAACCCCACTGTACTTGAACTGAATTTCCTCTTTTCTAATGATTACCCCATTTCTATCCTTCCCTTTATAGCGAAACCCCTTGAAGAAGTTGTCTACACCACTGGTGTTCATTCATTTTTGAGCCCTGTTTACTAAGGTTTTTATTCCTACATATGAAGTTTTCTTATCAAAATTACCAAAGATTTCCATGTTACCAAATCCAGTAGTTAGTTCTTAGTCTCATTCTACTTCACCAGTCAGCATTACGTGGTACAGTTAGTCTGTTCTCTGTGAAGCATTTTCTTAACTTGATCGTATGCCATTTTTTTCCTCATATCTCACTGGTTACCTCTCAATCTCCTTGGCTGATTGAACCTGTAAGCCGCCAAATGTTGGGAGAGCTCCAGGGCTCAGTTATCTCCCCTTTTCTCTCTGTCTGTTAACATTTATTTAATCATCTGCATTCTTTTGATGATCTCATCCATCTAGTTCCTGGTTTCAAATACTACCTGTATATCACTGACTCCTATCTCTAGCCTGAATTTCTCCTCTGAACTCCTGACTTGTATATCCATTGCCTCTTTAACATCTCTACTTGTAGGGAAGTCTGCTAGAATCTCAATTCAGCATGCTCCAAACCTGTTCCTCCATCAGCCTTCCCCATCTAATCAAATGACAGCTCTATTCTAGTTGGTAAGACCAAAACACCTTGGAGCCATCCTTAATTCCTCTCTCTCTGTCTCACCTCATGTGATCCGAACCTATCAGCTCTGCTTTCAAACTAGATGCAGAATTTGACCTCTGACCACCCCTACTACCCTGGTCCATTATCTCTCACTAGTCTATTCAGAGATACTCAGATTCCTGTTTCTTGTTTCCAATATTGACCTCTCAGTTGATTCTTTCTCCTCCTCCCAATTTTACTTGAGTGAATCTTTGTAATTAAAAAATAAAATATATGGGAAATGTAGGTGACAAATTTTCTTAGTGAACCTATGTTTTCTTGTGCTTGACTGGTTGGTTGGCTATGTATTTCCAAATTAAGAGTCTTTTTTCTGTGGAACTTTGAAGTTACTGCTTTTTGTTCTTCTAATATTCTGGGGTTGCTGATGCCAGTCTGACTCTCAGTCACTTTTCTCTCTGGAAGCTTTTATTTAGAATTCTCTATTCCTGGAATTCACAAATGTGATCACACTGGTTTGTTGTTGTTTGTTTGTTTTTTGGTTTGGTTTGATTTTTCCTCTGAGTGTTTCTCTGTGGACCTTGTGAATCTGAAGAGTCAACTCTCGGCCGGGCGCGGTGGCTCATGCCTGTAATCCTAACACTTTGGGAGGCCAAGGCGGGCAGATCACAAGGTCAGGAGATTGAGACCATCCTGGCTAACATGGTGAAACCCCGTCTCTACTAAAAATACAAAAAAAAAAAAAAAAGCCAAGTGTGGTGGCAGGCACCTGTAGTCCCAGCTCTTAGGGAGGCTGAGGCAGGAGAATGGTGTGAACCCGGGAGGCGGAGCTTGCAGTGAGCCAAGATTATACCAGTGCACTCCAGCCTAAGCGACAGTGAGACTCCATCTCAAAAAAAAAAAAAAAGAGTCAACTCTCTTTAAATCTAAGAAATCCATTCATTCTCTCTACCTCTGACACGCCCTCCCTCCCCTCTCCCCCTCCTCTTTCTAGCTCCATCTCAGATAATTTCTATCTTGCCTCCTGCTCCCCAGCCTTGTTATTGTTGTTTTTAATTCCTCATGGATGCGTTTATCCTCCACCCTGCTTTTTCACTCTTATATCATATTTTCATATCTGTCTCTTGGTTTTATCATTTGGAGATTAAAATATAAAAACAGCCATAAGGAAGAATGCCCAACTGAAAGCAGCTTAGAGAGTCAACATTAAATTTAAACCATTGGGTAAAGATAGCAAACTGGACATGCTTTTACTTTTCCTTCCTGTTGATAAATCCTATCAAAACTACGTGAGAGGGACTTTTAAAAAATACATAAACCCGGCCGGGCGCAGTGGCTCACGCCTGTAATCCCAGCACTTTGGGAGGCCGAGGCGGGCGGATTACGAGGTCAGGAGTTCGAGATCAGCCTGACCAACATGGTGAAACCCCGTCTCTACTAAAAATACAAAAATTAGCCAGTCGTGGTGTTGTGCACCTGTAATCCCAGCTACTTGGGAAGCTGGGGCAGGAGAATCGCTTGAACCCAGGAGGCAGAGGTTACAGTGAGCTGAGATCGTGCTATTGCACTCCAGTCTGGGTGACAGAGCGAGTTCGTCTCAAAAAAAAAATAAATAAATAAATAAACCCATAAAGGACAAAACAGATTTGGAAAGGAGACAACATCAACACAGTTTGGAAGGCTGAAAAGCAAATAGATGAGTTTAAATGACTTAGCAAAGTTGAGAGCCGCAACCTAAGTAGTCAGTGGGAAAAGCCAAGATGTAACTTGACTTTCACCCCAAACTCCTAAAAGGCTCAGGAGTTGACATCAACAGGCACAATGGAAACTAGAAGATTGAAGTAATTGGGATGAAGGGTGTAAGTTTTGGGTTATAAGTTTAACTTATTAACTTTTAACTTTATTGGGTATAAGTTACAATACTATAAAATTCACCCACTGTAAGTGTGCGGTCCCGTGAAAGTTGTGTATCCATCACCACAGTCCAGTTTTCTAACAATTCCATCAACTCAAGAAGCTTCTTTGTTGATGTTTAGTCAGTAGCTGCCTACGACCCCCAGTCCTAGGCAACCTCTGATCTACTTTCTTTTCTAGACTTTCCTTTGCTTTTTTTTTTTTTTTTTGAGACGGAGTTTTACAGTTGTCACCCAGGCTGGAGTGCAATGGCGCAATCTTGGCTCACTGCAGCTTCTGCCTCCCGGGTTCAAGTGATTCTCCTACCTCAGCCTCCTGAGTAGCTGGGATGACAGGCATGCACCACCATGCCAGCTAATTTTTGTATTTTTAAGAGACGGGGTTTCACCATGTTGGCCAGGCTGGTCTCGAACTCCTGACCTCAGGTGATCCACCTGCCTCGGCCTTCCAAAGTGCTGGAATTATAGGCATGAGCCACTGCGCCCAGCCTTTCCTTTGCTTTTAATATGTAAATTATTAAATTGATTTCCTAATATTAAAACATTCTTGCATTTTTAGAAACCTTAAATTTCAAACAACTGTATTTCTCTATATCAATTATCAATTGGAGTAATTAGCCATTATCTATAATAGATTCATTACATGGAGTTCATGGTAGATTTCAGGGAGTCTTGATCCCCTGAAGTTATAAGCAATTTTTATTTACATACAGAAACATTTGGGGAGAGGGTTCATAGATGTCTTTAATTTTCCAAGACCCAGATAAATACAAGCTACCTTTGCTTATGCCTAAGTTAAAAGTTTTAACATATCTTTTCACTTTTCTCCCTTTGTCCCATTTTCCAGGTTTTATCTAATTTGGGGTTTAGGTTACAGATTGTTATTATTACATTGCTTCTATTTTTAGAATCCCTTAAGAGCAGTTTTATTAGCAATGTTGACTTAGATAAAACTGAGGGGGCTTTTTTGTTTTTTGTTTTTGTTTTTCGTCAGAGACAAGGTTCTTGAGGACACAACATTTAAGCTGGGGCCTGACAGATGAGTTAGAATTAGCCACATGTAGAGGCTATCTAGGAAGATGTTAAGGCTATCTGTTATGTTCAGTTACATAAGAGAGATCCTTTGTAAATGTGTTTTGCTTTGTAATAAACCTTCTAAGGAGCCAGTATTGTTTTGTTATTACATCACTCTCTAAAATTTCAAATTGCCTTTTTGGTTTTATAAGGACAAGATGGGCTCTTAACAAGATGGCTTTGGGGTTTTTTCAGTCGAAGATGATGTAACCTCTAGAGTTAAGTGCGAAGAAGTTGATTTTGAGAATATATTGCAGAAGGTGCAAGGAACGTCATCTGGGTTATGACCTCTGGAAGTGGAGGTAGTTTTTTGTCATTGGGTCGCCAGTGCTTGGCATGTGATCTGTGAGGTGATCGAGAATATTGCAGACACAAGGGCAGGAGTAATGCCTCTGTTAGGGGTGTTAAGTTCGTAGTGGGTTCAGGAAGAGATGGTGGAGGCTGAGGGACAGATGTTTTCATTCAGTGCAGTAATATTTGCTAACAGGAAGAAAGTAGTGTGGGTAAGGGTGAAGAAGGGGCCAGAGAAGAGAGTGCAGATGTGCAAAAAGTGAGAGTTTGTGGAAGCAGGCCGTGATGTGGTTCCAAGAGCTGGACTGTCGAATCTTATTTTTGTAAAGCTCTGCTCTTAAGTAAAAAACCCAGAGTCACCTTTCTACCATGCTACCTTCAGGGCCTGAGCAAGAGTACTGCGTTGTAGAAGAGGTGGTGCTTTTTAGTATTTAAGTAATTAAACCTTCCTTGTTGTATTAAATCCATATATAATACCTTATTCCAACATATCTCAGATAGTTTCTGTATCTCAGATAGTTTCAGCAAGAGTTTGTGTATGGCACCGAATGGACAAGAGCTGTACATATATATAAATGTCAGAAAGAGAAGAAAAATACTAACTGTAACTTTTTGGTTTCCTGGTTTGCTGCTTTTGCATGTAGACTGTTCTTAAATATGCTGAGGTTGGGTTTGTTTTTCCCACTTTCCCATTCTATCAACATCAGTTGTTATTTACTCTAAACAATCATTCTTTCATTTTATCCTAAGTGAGTTTCTTTTATAATTTAATTCAGTTCCCTTGGTATTAAACACTGTTCAGTACTTTGGAAGTAGCTTACTTAATAGCTTTTTCTGCTGTGTGATTTATTCAAGAAATATTCAAATGTCAGCTATATGTAGAGCACTGTGTTAGATTCTGTGGGAGTTGCAAAGATGATCTAGATACAGATCTTTCTCCAGATCTTTAAATTCTAGAAGGGTAGTATAGACAGAATGATAGAATGCTGTGTGGTTTTCAAAGGAAGAACAGATTATTTCAGCCCAGGTGGAGTTGGGTGATGGCTAATTTTATGTGCCAACTTGACTGGGCCACAGTGCCTAGATATTTGATCAAATATTTTCGATGTTTCTGTTTAAGTATTTTTTGTATGAGATTAACATTTAAGTTGGTAGATTGTGAGTAGCCTCCATCTGTGGGTGGGCCTCATCCAGTCAGTGGAAGGCCTTTAATAGAACAAAGACTGACCCCTGAGCAAGGAGTTCTGCCAGCCTGCTCTGCAGATTTTGGATTTACCAGGCCTCCTTAATCCCTTGGGCCAATTCCTTAAGTCTCTTTCTGTGTTTGTATATGCACATCTGATTTATTCTGTTTCTCTATAAAACCTGACCGATACCTGGAATCTTCAAGTTGAAATTTAGGATAGGGGGAGAGAGAAAAATAGAGGACAGAAAACCTGATCTGTGAACTGAGAATAATGAGCTTTGTTAGAATTTAAGTTTGAGTATGCTGGGACCAGGTCTTGGAGCTGATACAGGACTGAAGAGTTTTAACTTTACATCATAAATCTTATTCTAAGTTTTCATTTGAACCTGGTTTTAGTTTCTTAACTTTGTAAGCGTCTTTTGGATATTTCAGTGTTTCATTTGTTGCTCTCAAATTTTGGTATTCAACAGACTCGTTTCTTTTTCTTTTCAGTTAACATTAGAGTCTAATTTACAATTTTTAGTTCATGTCAAAAAAAAGTTCAGGCCGGGTGTGGTGGCTCACACCTGTCATCCCAACTCTTTGGGAGTCCAAGGCGGGCAGATCATAAGGTCAGGAGATCGAGACCATCCTGGCCAACATGGTGAAACCCAGTCTCTAATTTAAAAAAAAAAAAATACAAACATTAGCCTGGGCGTAGTGGTGCACACCTGTAGTTCCAGTTACTCAGGAGGCTGAGGCAGGAGAATTACTTGAACCCAGGAAGCAGAGGTTGCGGTGAGACGAGATCGCGCCACTGCACTCCAGCCTAAGCAACAGACCAAGACTCGGTCTCAAAAAAAAAAAAAAAGTTCAGGCTTTGGGAAATTTTTTTTTTTTTCTTTTGAGACAGTCTTACTCTGTTGCTGAGGCTGTAGTGTAGTGGTGTGATCATAACTCACTGCAACCTCCGCTTCTGGGGTTCAGGCAATTCTCATGCCTCAGCCTCCCAAGTAGCTGGGATTACAGGCGTGTGCCACCACAACCGGCTAATTTTTGTTTTTGTTTTTTCTTAAATTAGAGACAGAGGTTTCACCATGTTGGCTAGGCTGGGCTCAAACTCCCAACCTCAGGTGATCTGCCCACCTTGCCCTCCCAAAGCGCTGAGACTACAAGTGTGAGCCACCATGCCCAGCCTGGAAAATGTTAATAGTGTCATTTGGAGGGTACTAGCTTCACTTAACTATGTATTTTAAGTATATAATGTTTATCATGCTTAAATTTAGAACATTTTTGGTATTTTATAATGGAGGTATTGTATTGGGAAGTTTGTCACTACAACTTATTTCTCTGGCCTTGTACTATGATTTTATATACAAGTATTATATACACTAACAACCAGTTTGGCATTAGGATGATGTTTGAGCTTAACTAAATCTGGAGACTGGATTAGATGAGTGATTTTGCCAAATAATTTGACCCTGTTTTGTTGTTGTTGTTGTTGTTTGTTTTTTTAATGCATGTGATGCATTTCTATTAATAAATCTTTGGTGTTATTTCAAGCTAGAAATATAAAATTGATTCTATTTTAAGACTAATAAAATTATTAGCTGGGCATCATGGCTCACACCTGTATGTAATTCCAGCACTTTGGGAGGCTGTGGTGGATGGATCGCTTGAGCCCAGGAGTTGGAGACCAACCTGGGCAACATGGCGAAATCCTATCTCTACAAAAAATACAAAAATTAGCCAGGTGTAGTGTGTGTGCCTGTAGTTCTAGCTACTCAAGAGACTGAGGTGGGAGGATAGCTTGAGCTTGGGAGGTAAAAGTTGCAGTGAGCCGAGATGGCACCACTGCCCTCCAACCTGGACTGGATGACAGAGAAGGGACGCTGTCTCAAAAAAAGAAAGAAAAAATTATTAGGGCAATGTAGCAGCATGATGAAGTTTAAAATGTAGAGGACAACCACCCCTAGTTTCCCCATTCTCCCCAACTACTTTTGTCATTCTCTGTATTCTCTTGTAGGCTGTATTTGTAGGTGTGTGCGCACATGTGTGTTTGAAGTTGAAAATTCACATTACATGCAATTAACCATTATATTGTGTACAATTCAGTGGCACTTAGTGTAGTCACAGTGTTGTGCAACTACCACCTCTCCTTAGTTTCAAAACTTTCCATCATCCTACTAAAATACCCCTAGGCATTAAGTAATCCCTCTTCATTTCCCCCATACCCTGTTGACCACTAACCTGCTTTCTGTCTCCATGGTTTTTCCTATTTCGGATATATTATGTAAAAGGAATCATACACTGTGTGACGTTTTGTGTCTAGCTTCTTTTACTCAGCATAATGCTTTCACGCTTCACTCTTGATGTAACATGTATCAGCATTGTGGTTTTTTTATGGCTGAATAATATTTCATTACATGTATTTTTAAATATATATATCATATATATAAGATATATAGAGATCATAATTTGTCTTTTGTTGATGGGCATTTGGGTTGTTTCTACCATTTGGCTGTTTTGAATAATGCTGATATAAACATTTGTATACAAGTTTCTGTGTGAACATAATATAATCTCTGGTACTTTGTTTTGGCAGCCCTAGCAAACTATATTGTGTGCTTTATTTCCAGTGTAGTGCTTAGCCCACTTGCTGGACTGTAACTTCCCTGAGGGTGGGGACATAAATATAATGCCTGCCTAATATTACTTAAATATTCTAAGCCTGCTGAATCACTACATTTTCGTTAATTCATGATAATCCCCAAAATATCCCAGAATCAGATCAGTATCTATTCAGCTACATAATACTACTTAATAGTAGTAGTATGGCTTACTTTGAAGCCTAATGCTGTGTCAGCTTCAGAGATTAAGATGTCAGGAAACCAATAGTAGTACTTATTAGAGGCATTGCAAGTGGTATTTAGTGTTTAGTGGACCTTCAAATCCAATTCAGTGATATCAAATCCAAGTAAGCAAATAGACTGAGCTCCTTGAGAATAGGAACTGGTTTCCCTAGCATCTAGCATAGTACCTGGGACAGGTGGTGCCCAGCAAGTATTTGAAAGAAATGGGATGAAATGCAATGACATACGGCACCTATGTTCAGCTTAAAACTCCAGTCACATTACCTATGGGTATTTACATTGGAATGTGTAGTTGCTGTAGAATCCCAAAATGAATACTAGAATAACAATGTTCTTTCTCAAAGTACTACGTGTTATGAATGAAAAAAAAAATGATTAGAACATAGTTCAGATTTTGCCAGCCAGACAAAGGCATTTGTGCTGTAATCTGAGGTATGCCTTCCTGCACTAAGAGGAACAGGGTTTATGGGAAAACTAGGATTAGGAGCAGACCATTTGAAATCTGTGCATCTTTGTAATTTAAGCACTAATGTAAACCTAATAAAAAGATAGTAGTGTGCTTAAAGATAAGTTAAAATTTTTAAACAAATAATTTGGTAAATTTAGAACTTTCCCTTTAAAAACAGTAAAGGTGACCAGAAGTGGTGGCACTACTCAGGGCTAGCTGTATTTAACTGTTGTTACCTGCAAATGCAAAAACTAAATAACATTTTAGGAAAAATTGGAAATGAACCAATGTGATTTCTGAATGTACTGACATAATTCCCTTATTTACTGATTGCATATGAGCTAATGTATGTGTTGTAGTAGAATAGTTCCAGTAGTTCTTTACCTTTTCTGTGCTTATCATGCCTCCTTCCTTTCTACTGTTAATGTTCAAGTTTTAATCTTCCAGACTTCTCATTTGTTCTGTAACAGTATCTTCTAGCCACGTGTGCCCTTCTAATCTCTCTTGTGGAATTTGTTCTTCACAATACTACAAGAATTCTATTGCATTGAAAACCCCAAATCTTATTAAGCCAGCCTCCATCATTAGAGCATGTTTCTCAAACTCTTGGTGTGTGCAAATCATTCTTATTCTGTGATTTCTATTTTCATGCTTTTTCAGTTTGCTTCATTTGCCATATGATAGAGGTTTTCTTCAGACCATATTTTGGAAAGTATGCTCTTAGTTTTAAATTCTACTATGGGTTATTTCCAAGACCCATAGTAGAATTTAACAAATTCTTTCAAATAAAAAATTTTAAAGCCTTCGCTTATTATCAACTAGCCAAAAAAAAAAAAAGTGTATCAAGTGACTCCTACTTGACATGATGAGAGATGAAAGTGTAAGTTTAGATACTACTACTGTCTGTTGAGTTTCCTCTCTCTCCATTCATTTTAATCTCCCAATTTTTGTTAAAATGTTGTGATATACTGTTCTTAGTTTGTTACACTTTGTAACTTTGTAGTCTTTTCCAGAACTATTTCTATTCTAGAACCAAAGTAAATTGTCATGTAGACTTCTGTGTTGAAATGAATTTATTGTCCATTTCTTATCTTTAGATAACACTTTTTTTGAGTTATTTTGATATACCAAAGCATAAGTCTCTGTGGCTTGTAGTGGTCTGTTTTTTGTTTGTTTGTTTTGTTTTTTTCTGGAAATACAGTGAAAGCTTTTGATGAAATTTAGGCCTTCATGTTAAGACATTTCTATTCTGTTATATCTTTAATTATATTTTTCTTATTCTTTTGTCTATCTCAGGGGCAGCAGTTAACTGTTGGATCTTCATAACTATCATCTTCTCTCTAACCTTTTTAATGCTGTAGTACTTTTTCATGACATCTTGTTTACCTTTTCTCAAAATTATTCTCTTCTAGTGATTTGGTTTTGCTGCATTGACTGTTGTTGCATTTATTAGTTATGCTGTTTTATTTATCTTGTGTAATTTTCTTTCCTTAATTCTGCATGCTACCCTTTCAATGTTGTTTTGATCATAAAAGTCTATGCTATCTGTTTTTCTTGTGAATGTCGAAGCAGTTGTTTCAGAAAATTTCTTCTATTTTCTGTGATAAATACTAATACTGAATGTATTTCATCTACCTTTTGAAGACTGTGTCCTATCAGGGCAAACTGCTGGTAATGGAAAAAAAAACAAAATAAGTAAATGAAGACCGTGTCCTCTTTGATTCTTCTCTTCTTCTTTACTGCCTTTTTTCTTTATTTTGATACACCTTTTTCTTTCCTTCCATCATTGCCTCCCTCCTTTCCCTCTTTTCTTCCCTTCTTTCCATCTTTCCTGTAAAATTTTTCTTGATTCCCTGATTTTTCTACTCTTTTTTTCTTTAGTAGGTCCTTTCAGTACCTGCTGCTTGCCAAAACGTGAAATGCAGATTCTCTTTTTACTTGACTCTGAATTCACCTGGCTAAGCTCTGTTAGGCCTTAGGAAGCTTAATAGAGCTTCTCTAATTTTGTAGAAGAAGGGCCTTTGACTTTTTCCCTCTCTGCTTCAGGATGATCTCATCTGCTACTTTGGAAGCATGAGACTTTATTTGTTTTGATGGTACTGAGGTTAGGGGTGAGATTGATTTATTTGTAATTAGTCCTTTCTCCTCCTTATCCTTCCTTTTGGATAAAGGTAAAAATATAAAATCCTCCTGCCTGCTAAAGTACTGTTTGGCCATCAGAGAAAGGGAGCTTCAGGTAGGGCATTCCGCAGTCCCTGTCCCCATCTTAGCAAGTTGAAGATGCTAGTCAAAATTTCTCTGGGGGGCAGGAGAGGGCAGAGGATACTTACGTATGGATTCTGGGGTTGGTCTTTCAGTTTCAACTAACTCATTCTGTACCTGAATGATACTATTTAATAAAATTTCGTGGTATGAGTTTGAGAACTTGTCATGATTTTAGGGATATTTTAACTTCCTTTTTGTTTCTTTCCTTTAGTTTTAGGGAAGGATCTTCTGCCAAACTACCTGTGCCACTGTCTTTCCTGGAAGTCTCATAAGTACTAGAAAGAACTTTTAGAATAAGAGTGTAGGACATTATTTACACTGAAATAACATTCTTTTTGTTGTTTTTTTTTTTTTTTTTTTTTTTGGAGTCAGATTGTCATTCTGTCACCCAGGCTGGAGTGCAGGAGCGCCATCTTGGCTCACTGCAACTTCTGCCTCTTGAGTTCAGCCAATCCTCCCGCCTCAGCCACCTGAGCAGCTAGGACTACAGGTGCATGCCAACATGCCCAGCTAATGATTTTTTGTATTTTTAGTAGAGATGGGGTTTCACCATTTTGTTGAGGCCGGTGTCAAACTCCTGACCTCAAGTGATCTGCCCACCTTGGCCTCCCAAAGTGCTGGGATTGCAGGCATGAGGCGCTGCATCAGTTCTGCAAAAAAAAAAAAAAAAAAAAAAAAAAAAAAAAAAAGCGTATGCATTAAAAATACTAAGGGGGCCAGGCGCGGTAGCTCACGCCTGTGATGCCAGCACTTTGGGAAGCCGAAGCGGATGGATCACTTGAGGTCAGGAGTTCTAGACCAGTCTGGCCAACATAGTGAAACCCCATCTCCGCTAAAAAAAAATACAAAAATTAGCTGCGCATGGTGGCACACGCCTGTAATCCCAGCTGCTCAGGAGGCTGAGGCAGGAGAGTCGCTTGAACCCAAGAGGCAGAGGTTACAGTGAGCCAAGATTGCGTCACTGCACTCCAGCTGGGGCAACAGAATGAAACTCCATCTCAAAAAAAAAGAAAAAAAATAGAAATGTTAAGGGGTTTACTTCCTTTAGGGTACTCTTTAAATGAAATATGATGTTTCATATTCTCTATTTGGAACTTCTGTATGGATGCAGACATTTTCAGAAATCTCCCAGGACAATGAACCTGAAACTTATGTATTTATAAGAAACTTGGGGATTTGGTTATTTTATTTACTTATTTTGAAATAGGGTCTTGCTGTGTCACCCAGGCTGCAGTGCAGCCACGCTTCAGTACAGCCTCAATCTCCCAGGCTCAAGCGATCCTCATACCTCAGCCTCCTTATAGCTGGGACTACAGGCATGCACTACCACACCTGGCTAATTTTTAAAAATGTTTATTTTTTTGTAGAGACAGAACATCACTGTGTTGCTAGGGCTGGTCTCAAACTCCTGGGCTCAAGCAGTCCTCCCACCTTGGCCTCCCATAGTGCTGGGATTACAGGCATGAGCCACTGTGCCTAGCCAGAAATTGGCTTAAAATGCAGATTTTTGGACCCTGTCCCCAGCAAAAAGATTCGGTAGAAATCTTTATTCGTAGCCAGTTTACTGTGTTGCAGGTGGTCCCCAGTTTAACTTTGAGTAATGCTGTCTTCATTGTTAAAATAATCAGATTTAATTATATGGTAGATATTTTAGGTAACTAGGGTATTTCAAGCTGTCCCATGGGGCTGAGTAGCTGGCAGCTGCTTGACTTGGCTTCTAGAGGACTTACTGCTCAGCAAGGTAAATGTTATTAATACCTTCATTGCTCTCTGTGTCCCAAAGGTCAATACCCAAACTTTGAGATTTTGTAGACTGGAGGAATCTTTGTCTCCCACTCCTTCCCCAAGAAAGACATGGGTTGCTAATTTTTATTTTGTCGAATGAGGACATTAAAAATAAGTTAACCGTGAGCCAGGCACAGTGGCTTAGGCCTTTCATCCCAGCACATTGAGAGGCTAAAGCAGGAAGATCACTTGAGGCCAGGAGTTCAAGACCAGCCTGTGCAAAATAGCAAGACCTCATCTCTACTAAAAAATAAAAAAAGTTAGCTGGGCTTAGTGGCACATGCCTGTGGTCCCAGCTACGTGGGAGGTTGAGATAGAAGGATCGCCTGAGCCCGGGAAGCTGAGGCTGCAGGAAGCCATGACCACACCACTGCACTCCAGCCTAGGGGACAGAGACCCAGTCTCATCAATAAATAAATAATGAAAGGACATTTTAACACCCCACTACAACCACTAAAGATACAAATAAATAAAAATATAAGAGGAACACAACCTCATAATACAGATAGTCTTTTATATTGCATATATTTAACTTCGGGCAAAAGCCACTCTATTTTCCTCTTTAAAAAAACTTTTTTAGCTATAGATTAATGAATACTTTCTCAGACATTTCAGAACTACTGCTTAGTACTTGAAATACAACATTTAGAATCTGGGGTACTACCTGAATGTGATGAGTAGTCACACATCTCATATCCTTTGTTTTCTTGCCAGTTCGATCCTTTGGTACAGAAGACAGACCGACAGATCGTCCAATACCACCTCGAGATGAAGTCTTTGAATACATTATATTCCGTGGGAGTGACATTAAAGACCTTACTGTTTGTGAGCCACCAAAACCACAGTGTTCTTTGCCTCAAGACCCAGCTATTGTTCAGGTAACTGATGGTAAATTTGTCTTGGAGTACAGGTAAACTCCGCACAGGGTTAGCCTTGGCTTTTTTCTCTCTAGTTGAATGTTCATGTAGCTTATCATTTCCAAGTTACTGGGATACCTGAAATTACTGGATAATGTTCTCATCTAGGTTTTTCTCTTTGTATCATAAATTAGAACTAAGGTAAGAAACAGCTGAGGAATTTATTATGAAATATTTTCTAATTTCAACAACAATTACCATAGCTAACATTGAAGGCTACTCTGTAGAAGTGCTGTGCATATAAGATACCCTCTGAGGTTGGTACTATAATTATTCTCACTTTTAACAAGTGAGGAAGTTCAGATGGAGCCACAATTTGAACAGATCCAGGCAGCCTGCTTCAGAATCTAGGATCCGTGCTACCATGCTATTGAGATATGGTTTATATTGCAAACCAAGGCAATAACAGCTACTCTTAGGTAAGATTATTAGGCTTAATGGGGAAAAAAAAGCAAAATCACATTGTTCTGCATATGTTATAATATGCAGTGTTGGTTTTTGTTTTGTTTTTCTTTTTCTTTTTTTTTTTTTTTGACAGAGTCGTTGGAGTACAGTGGCGTGAACTCGGCTCACTACAACCTCCGCCTCCCAGGTTCAAGTGATTCTTCTGCCTCAGCCTCCTGAGTAGCTGGGATTACAGGCATGCACCACCACACCCGGCTAATTCTTGTATTTTTAGTAGAGATGAGGTTTCACCATGTTGGCCAGCCTGGTCTCAAACTACTGACCTCAGGTGATCCGCCCACCTCAGCCTCCCAAAGTGCTGGGATTACAGGCATGAGCCACTGTGCCTGGCCTGCAATGTTATATAATAAGAAAACACAAACATCAATGTATTTTAACATATTTAGATCAGCTCTTAAATCTCCCAATTTAAGCTTTTTAATAAGGAATTGTAAATTTTGTTGCAGCATAAGCTGGAGAAATTCTCTACTCTCATCTACCCCTACCCTTGTTAAGTCTTATTTTGGTGAAAGGAAGCCTGAAGTGGAAATGTGAATCTCTTTAAATGGAGAAGGAAGAGACACATTCTTAATAGAGATAGCTCCCTACACCAAACACTGGAGTTACCTTACTGTCTCTTTTATATGGCTTTTGATAATTCTCCAGGAAACCAGTTATTTGAGTAATCGGTTTTATGGAAGGAGAAAAACTAAGAGAGCGCATATGAAAATGGTGTTGAATAACTTCTTCCAATCATCATAAACTTCTACTTGATCTCCTTATTCATTCATTCAGTAGTATTTACAGAGTATCTGGCATGTGCTTAACACTAGTGGTGAACACACAGAAAAGGTCCTGCCATCAGTGAGTGTATGTCCTGGTAGCCTTTAATACACTTCATGTTTATATTATGAAACAGTTTATAGTAAGATAATATATGAAGTATACATGTATTAATATATGTTATATATTTTATATGCTTTAGGTTTAAGTTAAAGTTTTTATAAAATGTTCCTCAGCTTAATGTAACTATAAGTAAAAATGTAAATGGTTTTATGTGGGATATGTTTGTTTCTACGTCTGTGAATTTAATAGTAGGCCTCAAATGATTGAAAATAAGAGTAAAATCATACGTGAGATTTATATCAACATCAGACTAAAACTCATTATTACTAAGTGTGATTTTTCTCATATTTTTCTTTAAGCAAAGTTACTTTACTTAAGTAACTTTAATTCTTTCCTCAATCTATAAAACTCTTAATTCAAATGGGGAGTTTATTGTAGAAAAAAGTATTTGTAAGTCACATTGAGTATAATTGGCACATTATAGACAGATACTGAAATCAAAAGGTTGTTTGGCTATTTTAATATTAAGTGCATATTGTAATTCATTTTATATCTAGTAGTTATAATTTAATAGTTTTCTTAAAAGTAAAAATCTGGAATTTTTTTTTTCGTTATATACATGTTGCTTAGAGCTTGGAAACATAACTCATGATTTTCCTTCAGTCCTCACTAGGCTCATCGACTTCTTCATTCCAGTCCATGGGTTCTTATGGACCTTTCGGCAGGATGCCCACATACAGTCAGTTCAGTCCGAGTTCCTTAGTTGGGCAGCAGTTTGGTGCTGTTGGTGTTGGTATGTTTTCTTTTTCTTTTCTTTTTTTGTTTTTGTATTCTTCCTTTCTTTACCACAAAGGTATAGAAACTCAACACCAACTATTAGAAATGTTGTTTGATGTTCCTTTTGTAACTTTGTTTTATGGTATTCAGAACACATTTTGATGATATCTTAAAGCCTTTATTGATATTAGTGGGTTTTTAAAAGTCAGCTTTCACAGAGTAACATTTTTTTTTACTAGGTAAAAAAAAAATGGATATACTAGGTATATCCAATATCTACCAAATCTACCAAATTGGATATACTAGGTATATCCAATATCTACCAAATCTTATTGGTAATTGGTTTTGTTTTGTTTTTTTTAAAGACAAAGTCTCACTCTGTCACTCAGGCTGGAGTCCAGTGGCACTATCTTGGCTCACTACAACTTCCACCTCGTGGGTTTAAGCAATTCTCGTGCCTCAGCCTCCCAGATAGCTGAGATTACGATATGCATCACCACACCCAGCTAATTTTTGTATTTTCAGTAGAGGTGGAGTTTCACTGTGTTGGCCAGGCAGGTCTTGAACTCCTGACCTCAGGTGATCCACCTGCTTCGGCCTCCCAAAGTGCTAGGATTACAGGTGTGAGCCACTGCGCCTGGCCTGGATTTTAATTAATAAATTTTTCTTTTTAATTTCTTTTTCTTTTTTTTTTTTTTTTTTTTTTTCTGAGGCAGAGTCTTGCTCTGTTGCCCAGGCTAGAGTGCAGTGGCATGATCTCCGCTCACTGCAACCTCCACCTCCCAGGCTTAAGCAGTGCTCCTGCCTCAGCCTCCTGAGTAGCTGGGATTACAGGTGTGCGCCACCACTCCCAGCCAATTTTTTTGTATTTTTAGTAGAGATGGGGTTTCACCATGTTGGCCAAGCTGGTCTCGAACTCCTGACCTCAAGTGATCCACCCACCTCAGCCTCCCGAAGTGCTGGGATTACAGGCGTGAGCCACCAAGCCCGGCCTAAAACATTTAAAAATGTTTATTTTAAACATACATAAGACATGCACACATAAAGATACGCATAGCATGATTGAGGGCTTGGTGTTTTGTTTCTGTAACACTGGATTTGAAACGAAACTATAATGAGAATGTATAGCAGGGCTGGGCGAATGACAGGCTTGCTTATGACTGGAG
Source organism: Homo sapiens (assembly GCF_000001405.40). Classification (NCBI taxonomy): domain Eukaryota; kingdom Metazoa; phylum Chordata; class Mammalia; order Primates; family Hominidae; genus Homo; species Homo sapiens. The sequence continues at coordinate 45,655 of NW_003315963.1, forward strand.
GGTCAAGGGCTATTGAGTGCAAAAGCTGGATGTAATCAGATTAGCTCAGTGTTTTGTTTTTATAGCTATGCATTTTAGCGTTTAAACCATGGTAAAGAACAGCTTTTAAAAAAAAATCGCTTCTCAGCCTTTTGGCTAAGCTCAAGTGTAAAAAAAAAAAAACAGCTTTAAATCTCAAGCTTTTGCCCCTAATCTTTTAAAATTTCATTGAAATAATTATCAGTTTACTGTTTCACTGCACCACAAATTTAGTTTCAGGTGTATCTTGAAACTCATTGATATGCTAATAAGTTTTATTAAAATTGTTAAATTCCTTCCTGTGAATATACTTTTTATACAGATGTGACTTAAGTATTTAAATGTTTTACTTATTCACAAAATAACAAAGAATGGCAAAAAAAAAGCAAACTAAAACTGAATGAGCTGGGCGCGGTGGCTCACGCCTGTAATCCCAGCACTTTGGGAGGCTGTGGGCGGATCACCTGAAGTCAGGAGTTCAAGACCAGCCTGACCAACATGGAGAAACCCCATCTCTACTAAAAATACAAAATTAGCTGGACGTGGTGGTGGTGCATGCCTGTAATCCCGGCTACTAGGGAGGCTGAGGTAGGAGAATCGCTTGAACCTGTGAGGCAGAGGTTGCAGTGAGCTGAGATCGTGCCATTGCACTCCAGTCTAGGCCACAACAGCAAAACTCCGTCTAAAAATAAATAAATAAATAAAACTGAATGAATATAAACAGAAACCACAGATGCTATTACATATTAAATTGATAATATAACCACACAGAGGGCTGGGTGCGGTGGCTTACGCCTGTAATCCCAGCACTTTGGGAGGCCAAGGCGTGTGGATCACGAGGTCAGGAGATCGAGACCATCCTGGCTAACACGGTGAAACTCCGTCTCTACTAAAAATACAAAAAAATTAGCCGGGCGTGGTGGTGGGCGCCTGTAGTTCCAGCTACTCGGGAGGCTGAGGCAGGAGCATGGCGTGAACCCAGGAGGCGGAGCTTGCGGTGAGCCAAGATCGTACCACTGCACTCCAGCCTGGGCGACAGAGTGAGACTCCGTCTCAATAAAACAACAAAAAAAACCACACAGAGGAAAAAATAATTCAGGTAACTTTTACACTCTTAGTAGGATATATTCTAACAACAAATAGAACTACTAAGAAAACTTGACTTTGATTTGTATTATTGGTGTTATTATTTATTTATTTATTTATTTATTTTGAGATAAGATCTGGCTCTCACCCAGGCTGGAGTGCAGTGGCACGATCCCGGCTCATTGCAACCTCCGCCTCCCAGGCTCAAGCCATCCTCCCACCTCAACCTCCCGAGTAGCTGGGATTATAGGCATGCACCACCACTCCCGGCTAGATTTTTCTTTTGTATTTTTTGTGGAGACAGGGTTTCCCCATATTTTCCAGGCTGGTCTCAAACTTGTGACCTTGAGTGATCCGCCCATCTTGGCCTCCAAAAGTGTTGGGATTACAGGTGTGAGCCACTGCACCCAGCCAGGTGTTAATTCTTAAACTGTTTTGTATGTATTATAGGAAAGGGCAAATGAATAAAATACTTATGTTGGGAAATAGTGTTTTTACCATGGAGACGGAAGATATAAATATGGAATGGGAAAGGTGAGAAAGAACCCTGTGGTGCTGAATGTAAATAGATGGTATGTGTATGGACTCATTTTTTAAAAACTGGTTATTTCCTAGCTCTGTTCGTAGAAAGGACCTAGAAACAATGGAAACCCCGTAGCAAGGGACACATGTAGACTCAGCTCTTAGTTTCTAAATACCACTCCCCACTAAAAGGAACAAGGGCCCATTGAAAAACAAAGGAAAAGACATACTTTTTTCATATAAAAATGCCTGCTAATAAGTAGAAGCAGTGGTAGATAAAGAAAATTGCCATTTTCTAATCTCAGTATAATAATTAGCGAGGATTATCATTAGATGCTGAAGTCATTGGGTGAAAGGTGTTAGGACAGCATATTAAGGTGGTCTTAAAGTATCATCCCACAATTTACAAAGGGGGAAAAATGTACCCTTGTAACACAGACATCTGGTGGTTACCAACTTCGTTGAGTGCTCAAGTTTAGCATTGCCATGAACAATTATGTGTCTCCTGTTGTGATGATTGGGGTGGGGGGCAAAACATAATATCACCTTTGTGGGGTTCTTGCTGAAAATACAGAATCTAATTTTGAAGAAATGGGCTTATATATCCAGAAGGTGGGTTGTTTTGCGAGACAGTTATCCACACTCTTCAAAAGATTCAATATTACAAAGAATGGAGAGAGGCAGCAGAACTGCTTTAGGCTGGCAAAGACTGAAGAGACATAACATCCAAATGTAATATAGAATCGAATACTGGGCTTTTAAAAAGTTGGCGTGTTTGTTTCCTGCAGGGGAGAAAAAGAAAACTTAAAAAGTTGGTGTGAAGAACATTTTAGGGACTACTAAGGAACTTTTGAGTATGGACTAATTGTTGGATTTTGTTATTATTGTTAATTTTCTGGTTAATCATATGGGAAAGTGTTTTTGTTTGGGGGAGGTGGTTTTGAAGTATTTAAAAGTAAAAGGGCCAAATTGATTTTAGCCTCTCTAAACAAAAGAAAAATGTGTATATTAAGGTATAAAGATGGAGAAACAGAGTGGGTTTGGTTAGATGTTAACAGTTGATGAGTCTAGGTGAGGAATATATTGATATTCTGTGTACTCCTTCAATTTTAACATAGGTTTGACATTTTTCATAATTAAAAATTAATTCCTTTTAGACTTACTTTAGGTGAAATAGTGTAACTTTGGTCCATAAATTTCCAAATCCAGTAGTAAGATCAATGTTATTTATTCATGTTAAATCAAGATATACTGTATGTTAACTGTAACTTAGAATCCTTTCCTGGGGATTCAAGTAAGGAATGATTGCAAATTGTATTATCCTTTTTGAGGCTCCTTTGACTAAATTAAATAGTTAACTGACTTTGAGATCATCATTATACTTCTTATGTTACCATGAAGTTTATGTAACTAATTATGTTAAAAAATTTGAACAGGATCAAGCACGTAGTATCTATATAGTAACTATTGCTTCTGCCATTCTTCAAGGTTTACTTTTTAATCAGAGTATTTTGTGGTTGTGAAATGCTTTTATAAATATTTTAATCTAATTTTAATATTATTGTGGGTTGTTGGTTTATTACTTGGGTGTCACAAAAGTAGAAGATTTTACTGGCATTTTCCATGTCAGTAGAGTAATTTTTGCAGGGTCAGATTATTTTTGATTAATTGATTTCCATATTGGTTAGGATAATTTGTGGAGTGGCTAATTAGAAAACTAGTGTTAGAAGTTACCAAATGAGGAAGAGGAAAGCTGTGGCATTGGTCAAGGTGACAGATGTTTTTCAGAAAAGGAATTAACTTAAATTTAGCTTGTTTTTTGAGATGGCGTCTTGCTCTGTCACCCAGGCTAGAGTGCAGTGGTGCGATCTCAGCTCACTGCAGCCCCCTCCTCCCGGGTTCAAGCGAGTCTCCTGCCTCAGCCTCCTGAGTAGCTGCGGTTACAAGCATGTGCCACCACGCCCAGCTAATTTTTGTATTTTTAGTAGAGACAGGGTTTCACCATGTTGGTCAGGCTGGTCTCAAACTCCTGACCTCTTGATCCGCCCGCCTCAGCCTCCCAAAGTGCTGGGATTACAGGCGTGAGCCACCATGCCCAGCCAAATTTAGCTTTTGTTGGCACAAAGTAAACCACATTTTAAGCTAGGCCTCTTTTCATTTTTGGTTCCTAGTATTCTGATTTTAAAAGGAAATTTAAATGAATCTGGATCACAGTATTGCTATTTGATGAGAAAATTTTTATATATTTACGTTTTCGTGTGTTATTACTATTGCTTTTTATTTTTATTTATTTATTTTTTGAGACAGGGTCTCTTTCTGTCATCCAGGCTGGAGTACAGTGGCACAACCACAGGTCGCTGCAGCCTAGACCTCCTGGGCTCAAGCAGTCCTCCCATCTCAACCTCCCTAGTAGCTGGGACTACAGGCATGTGCCATCATGCCCAGCTAATTTTTGTATTTTTGGTAAACACAGCATCTCAGCATGTTATCCAGGCTGATCTCGAACTCCTGGGTTCAGTCTGCCTGCCTCCGCCTCCCAAAGTGTTGGGAACCACCATGCCCACCCTTATTATTGCTTTTTAGTAAGTTTTTTTTTTTTTTTTTTTCCATTTGGTTGGTTGGTTTGGTTTTTGTTTTGTTTTGTTTTGTTTTGTTTTTGAGACTGAGTCCTGCTCTGCTGCCCAGCCTGGAGTACAAAGACGTTAGCACTTTGGGAGGCCATGGCAGGAGGATTGCTTGAGCTCAGGAGTTGGAGACCAGCCTGGGCAACATAGCTAAACCCTGGCTCTACAAAAAAAAAAAAATTAGGCAAGCATGGTGGCACACTCCTGTAATCCCAGCTGCTCCAGAGGCTGAGGTGGGGGGATTGCTTGAGCCTGAGAGGTAGAGGTTGCAATGAACCAAGAGCACGCCACTGCACTCCAGCTTGGGAAACAGAGCCAGACTGTGTCTCAAAAAAAAAAAAAAAAATCTTGCTTATAGTGAAAAACATACAAATTAAATCTACACTGAGACACCATTTCTCACTATCAGTTTGGCAAAAACTCAAAAGCTTGATTATATGCATACTCTTGGCAAGTATGTGAAGAATATATACTCTCATACATTGAGAAGAATAATATACCAGGTAGAATTAAAGGACTCACTCTGTTGCTGCCCAGGCTGGAGTGCAGTGGCGCATCTCCGCTCACTGCAAGCTCCACCTCCCTGGTTCACGCCATTCTCCTGCCTCAGCCTCCCTAGTAGCTGGGACTACAGACGCCCGCCACCACGCCCGGGTAATTTTTTGTATTTTTTTTAGTAGAGACGGGGTTTCACCGTGTTAGCCAGGATGGTCTCGATCTCCTGACCTCGTGATCCGCCCGCCTCGGCCTCCCAAAGTGCTAGGATTACAGGCGTGAGCCACCGCGCCTGGCGGACTTTTCTTAAAACTGATGCAAAAATAATTCTTATGTGTAAGAGATTAGATCATTACTGGCCTTAATTTCTGAACTCTTGGAAAAATTAAACACCTCACAATAAATGAAGCATCAAAACAGTATTTCCCTGTGTTACCATTGAACAGTAGCAAGAGCTTACTGCTGCAGTTAGAAAAAGGATTCATAGAAACAGTGAAAGGTATAGATTGACCAGCTATCTAAAGTAATTCTATAGCAAGGATTACAGTGAAGAAACATGGAGCAATTAGATGTTTTTTCTGTTATATTTACTCCAGTTGATTGTTTAAGTCTCATAATCTTATGTGCCAGATGGAGGAGTATTGGCTGAATAGACCATCAGTGGGTACATTTTAGTTGATTAAATAGCCAAACCATATTGGAGGATGGTTCTCTTAGGTCTCCAGTGTTTTGTAGAGACTAATTTTTAATCACTGAGTGATGAAGCCTTGAAGAGATGCTTACGAACTTTACAGTTAGCATAAAGCCAGGGGGGTGTTTCAACCATTATGGATGTTAAACTAAGGATTATTAAAGATCAGACCAGGCACAGTGGCTCACGCCTGTAATCCCAGCACTTTGGGAGGCTGAGACGAGTGAATCATTTGAGGTCAGGAGTTCAGGATCAGCCTGGCCAACACAGTGAAACCCTGTCTCTACTAAAAATACAAAAAAAATGAGCCGGGCTTGGTGGCGTGCGCCTGTAATCCCAGCTACTCAGGAGGCTGAGGCAGGAGAATCCCTGGAACCCAGGAGATGAAGGTTGCAGTGAGTTGAAATCATGCCACTGTACTCCAGCCTGAGCAACAGAGCGAGACCCTGTCTCAAAAAAAAAAAAAAGAAAGAAAGATTGTTAAAGATCTACTTTGGTAAAATGTGAAGGAATTAAACATTCCAGTTAAAAGGCAGAGAGTGTCAGACTGAATTTAAAAAAAAAAAAAAAAAGACAAGGCCCAACTATATTATGTTTATAAGAAATGCACTGAAAGTGAAAGAATAGAAAAAGGTATACCATACAAACAGCAATAACAAGAAAAGTGTGTAGCATACGTTAATATCAGACAAAGGAGCTTAAAGATCAGGATTTCTTCCAGAGGTAAAGGTTGGGGGGGCGTTCTTCGTAAAGATAAGGATCAGTTCATCAAGAAGATACAACAGTCCTAAATGTGTAACTTTTATAAAACAGTATACCCAACAATTGCAGAATATTGTTTTAAGTAGACATGAACTGCTCAACAATATAGACCAAATGCTGGACCATAAAATAAGTCACACTAAATTCCAAAAGGAATAAAATCATACATGGTATATTGTTAAACCACAAAATAAACTTGAAATTAATAAAGTTAACTTGAAAAATCCCCAGATAATTTGGTATCAAGTAAACTTGTTAATCACTAATGGATCAGAGGAGAATTTACAAGGGAAATTAGAGAATATTTTAAATCTAGACCAGATGTGATAGCATACACCTGTAATCCCAGCACTTTGGGTGGTGGCCAAGGTGGGAGGATCACTTGAGGCCAGGAGTTCAAGACCAGCCTGGGGAACATAGGGAGACCTTGTCTCTGCAAAAAAAAAAAAAAAATTTAAGTAGCTGGGTGTGGTTGTACATACCTGTAGTCCTAGCACTCAGGAGGCTGGGGTGGGAGACTTGATTGAGCCCAGGAATTCAAGACTGCAGTGAGCTGTGATTCTGCTGCTGCACTCCAGGAAAGGCGACAGAGCTAGACCTTTTCTCTAAAAAGAAAAAATTAAATTAAAAAAATTTTATTTTCAATTTAATGACCAGAAAGTTTGTGGGTGTAGCTAAAACAGTGTTTAGAAAAATTTTCATAGCTTTAAATACATGTATTAGAAAACAAGAATTTTCGGCTGGGCGCAATGGCTCATGCCTATGATCCCAGCACTTTGGGAGGCTGAGATGGGCAGATCGCTTGAGGTCAGGAGTTCAAGACCAGCCTGGTCAATGTGATAAAAACTCGTCTCTATTAAAAATACAAAAATTACTCAGGCGTCTTGGCATGCGCCTGTAGTCCCAGCTATTTGGGAGGCGGAGGCAGGAGAATCACTTGAGCTGGGGAGGCAGAGGTTGCAGTGAGCCAAGATGACGTCACTACACTCCAGCCTGGGTTACAGGGCAAGACTTTGTCTCAAATAAAAAGGAAAAGAAAATAAGAATTTTTAAAATCAGTGCTTTAAGCTACCAGTTTAAGAAGCTAGGAAAGGGCCAGGTGTGGTGTCTCCCACCTGTAATCCCAGCACTTTGGGAGGTCAAGGCGGGCAGATTACCTGAGGTCAGGAGTTCGAGACCAGCCTGGCCAACATGGTGAAACCCCATCTCTACAAAAATACAAAAATTAGCCAGGTATGATGGCAGGTGCCTGTAATCCCAGCTACTCAGGAGGCTGAGGCAGGAGAAACGCTTGAACCCGGGAGGCGGAGGTTGCAGTGAGCCGAGATCACACCATTGAACTCCAGCGTGGGCGACAGAACAAGACTCCATCTCACAAAAAAAAAAAAAAAAAAAAAAAAAAAAAATACTAGGAAAAATGGTTAGCTGGGCATGGTGGTGAATGCCCTTAGTCCTAACTGCTTGGGAGGCTGAAGTGGGAGGATTCCTTGAGCCCAGCAGTTCAAGGTTGCAGTGAACTATGATTGTGCCACTGCCTTCTAGCCTGGGTGACAGAGTGAGACCATGTCTCTAAGAAAAGTTGGTGAGGACGCCAGGGGACAGCTAGGAAAAAAAATGAAAGAAAATTATTCCAAAAGTAGTAGAGGGGGAAGAAAATAAAAAGATAAGAGCAGAAATCAATGAAGTAGAAATAGATTATATTATCAGCAAAGTCAAGAGTTTGTTTTGGGTGGGTTTTTTTATTTTTTATTTTTATTTTATAAGATTGATAAGTCCCTAACAAAACTGATTAAGGAAAGAAAGAACAACCAAGCAAGTTGCCAATACCAGGAATGAAAGAGTAGACGTCAGTATAGACCTTAAAAGAATAATATGGGAATATATGAATGTCAACAAATGTGATAGTTTGGATGAAGTGGGCAAATTTCTTGAAAAATAGCAAACCAACACAAGAGGAAATAAAATCTCAATATCTCTATATCTTCTAATGAAATTGAAACAGTAATTTAAAATCACCCAGAAAGAAAATTCTAGACTGTTTTTACTGTTACATTCTACCAAACATTTAGGGAAGAAATAATTTTCACTAATCTTACACAAACTCTTTCAGATAGCTATGCACCATGATGCATGCCTGTAGTCCCAGTAACTCAGGAGGCTGATGCAGAAGGATCTCTTGAGCCCAGGAGTTCAAGGCTGCAGTGAGCCATGATTGTGCCACTGCACTCCAGCCAAGGCAACAGAGCAAAACCCTGTCTCTTAAAAAGTAAAAAAAGACTGGGTACGGTGGCTCAAACCTGTAATCCCAGCACTTTGGGAGGCCGAGGCGGGCAGATCACGAGGTCAGGAGATCGAGACCAGCCCAGCCAACATGGTGAAACCCTGTCTCTACTAAAAATACAAAAAAAAAAAAATTAGTTGGGCATGGTGGCGCGCGCCTGTAGTCCCAGCTGCTCGGGAGGCTGAGGCAGGAGAATCGCTTGAGCCCAGGAGGCGGAGGTTACAGTTAGCTGAGATCGCGCCACTGCACTCCAGCCTGACGACAGAGCAAGACTCCATCTCAAAAAGAAAAAAAGAAAATTCAGAGAATACAGGAAGAGGAAATATTTGCTGACCCTATAACCAAGGCCAAATAACTGAAATACCAACTGTGACTGGATCGTTACAAGAAAATTATAGATCATTGTCCCCCATGAACATAAACGTAGTAATGTTTATTAGATGTAGAAGCCAGCACTTCAGAAGAAGGATTGTATATGATGACAAAGATTTATCTCAGGACTGCGAAGCTGCAACATTTGAAAATCAGTTGTAACTTACCACGTTAACAGACCAGGAATAAAGAATAGAGAATCCAGAAATAGACCCACTCAGATACTTAAAACAGAGTACCAAGACAGTTCAATGGAGAGAAAAGACATTGTTTTAACAAGAGGTGTTGCAGCAGCTGTTTATCTGTGGAAAAAATAAAACTTGACCCCTGGCTTAAACTATAAATTAAAAATAATTTGGAATAGATTATAGACATAAATTGGTAGTAGAATTGGAGTAGAGCGAGGGGGGTGTGGCACGATCAGGAACTCACGGAAGAGATTTGCTCTAACCATTGAATGCGTAATCCAGAGGACAAGCAATGGGAGGCCAAGCCAGGTGAGGAAACACAGAGCAGCCTGGAGATGCAAATATACATCAAAGTGGCTGATGTCTTGGTCATCACCCAGGAATACTAGAAATAACTGGATGGGTTCTACTCCCCACAGAATTCTTGAAAGCGCTAGTCCCCACATTACCGGGATATTGTGGGAAGTTGTATTAGGCTTCTCCTGAGCTTACTGGAGCTGCAGCCAGACTGGACTGCACCTCCAAGGGAGTCCCAGTGGCTCCCCTTGTCTAAGATACTGTGCTGCTTTCTGAAGCCACATTTTTTTTTTTTTTTTTGAGACAGAGTCTCACTCTGTCACCCAGGCTGGAGCACAGTGGCCCAATATTGGCTCATTGCAACCTCCACCTCCCAGGTTCAAGCAATTTTCCTACCTCAGCCTCCTGAGTAGCTGGGACTGCAGGCATGCGCCACCACGCCCAGCTAATTTTTGAATTTTTGTAGAGACGAGGTTTCATCATACTGGTCAGGCCAGTCTTGAACTCCTGATCTCGTGATCTGCCCACCTCGGCCTCCCAAAATGCTGGGATTACAGGTGTGAGCCACTGCGCCCGGCCCTAAAGCCACATTTTAAGAGGGATAAGAACAAATAGAATTCATTAAATTAGGAGTCCAAGAAAGGAAGGGGAGAGTGTCCTAAAGACCATGTGAAGTGAGTAATGGTTGAAGGGACTGGAGTTGACTAACCTGAAAATGAGCAAATTGCAAGGGGCATGATTGTAATCTTCATGTGTTTTAGGAGCAGAAGGATAAACTTCTGCTGTGGGCTAGACTGGTGAAAATATAGAAAATGTTGAGAGAAGAGGTAGGTTTTATTAACTGAAGTGAATAGTTTGAACTTTTATCTTGAGGACAGTGGAAGCCACCAGAAGGTCTAAAGCACGATAATGTTATTACATTTATATTTTGTAAAGAATCACTCTGACTACCATCTTTAGGTTGGATTTAGAGGTTGTGGAAGGGGGAGGTACTGTTGAAATATAGTGAAAACCTGCTTAGATGAAATACCAAGGAAAGAGCACAGTATATCAAAAGTGAATGATCCCTAAGTACTGTAGAAACTTAGAGAAGAAATTTGATATAACCTAGTATGGCAGAGAATTGGGCCCTTTCTAGGGACCTTTTTACTCATATTGCCAGAACTTTTTGCAGCTGCTTTAGGCAGAATGCAGCCTCACAGTCCTATCTTAAGGGGAAGCATTGAAACCAGAGTCCATTGTCTATTGCCTTGGAAATGCTAAAAAAGCTCCTCGTAAACCTGTCTGCTGATTTGGCTGTTTGTCCAGATACTTAGTATTAGAATCACTGAACCTTAATGTTGGTGTTGAATGTACCATTTCTGCTACTTCTCTAGTTGGTATGGGTCCTTGCTGTCCCATCTGCATAACTGCCTAGGACAGCACTCCATGTGTTATAAACATTGCTTGCATCCAAGGATAGTGGACAGTATATTGGCTCCCCCTTCCCCTGCCCTCCATATTGCCATAAAATTCCCAAACTATTCAGTACACTTTAATTTCCAAGATTATTAATTTGTACAGATGCTGGGGGGAGAGGTAGACAATTACCATCATTAAAATGCTGCATTACTTTATATCATTGAATAATGTCAAACATTTTTTAAAATTTTTTTATCATTTAAAAACATCTCTTTAAGCTGGAAGCTCTTTGACATCCTTTGGAACAGAAACATCAAACAGTGGTACCTTACCCCAAAGTAGTGCGGTTGGTTCTGCCTTTACACAGGATACAAGATCTCTAAAAACACAGTTATCTCAAGGTAAGCTATCTCATCCCTAAAATATTTCCATTCTAAACTTTTATAGTGGTTTTTGTCTTTCTGAATGTAAGAGCTTTTGCAGCTTGTAAATCGCGTGTATAATTTCTATTTGGCTCTTTTAAAATTTTTCTCCAAATCGCTGTATTGCAATGAATATATTATTGAATGACTCTCACTATTTAGACTTATTACAGTTCTTAGATCATGAAACTGAAATGCTGAGCATTCTCTAAGTTGGACTTTTTTTGCAAAGCAATTATATAACTTGTATGTAACACTTAAATATATCAAATTAGGCTCATACTCACCATTAAAGTTGAGCTATCCAAGATGAATTGGAAATATCATCTGAAAAAAACTGTATTATGCTGTTAACATTTTCCCTAACATCCTCACAGGATGGAGAGTAGTGGTTCTCAGTGTAGGCTACCCACAACTGAATCATCTGGGGTGCTTCTTAAAAATTTAAATCCTGAGACTTATACATCAGAATCCCTGGAGCCTGAGGATTTATATTTTAATAAGCTTCTTAAAGGATTGTTTTATTTCTTAAGATTCTGCTCTTCAACCAGCCAGTCTCATAATTTTAAATGGTTATCCATACCTTTTATTCTTATCTTTGTTTCTTCCTTTTTTCTTAATCTTTTTCTTTCTTTTATTTACTTATTAGAGATGAGGTCTCCCTGTATTGCCCAGGCTGGTCTCGAACTCCTGGGCTCAAGCGATCCATTTGCCTTGGCCTCCCCAAAGTGTTGGGATGTTGGGATTACAGGCGTGAGCCATTGGGCCTGGCTTTTTTTTTTTTTTTAAAGATAGGTCTCACTATGCTGCCCAAACTGAAATGCAGTGGCTATTTACAGATGTGATCATAGTGCACTGCAGCCTTGGACACCTGGCCCCAAACAAGCCTCCCACTTTAGCTTCCCCAGTAGCTGGGGCTACAGCCTTGTGCCACCATGCTCGGCTTTTCCTTATCTATTTTTATGCACTTTAGAAATGGGTATTTTTGGCTCATTGCTTTATATGAATGGTTTTTGTTTTGTTTTGTTTTTAAGTAAAACAATGTTGAGTCATTTCAGAAAGACCTATAGTCACAAGACAGTATTTTAAAAAGCTATTAAGGGTAAAAATTCAATGCTAAACATAATCTTATGTATTTCACTTAAGATATTTTGAAATAGTTCTTACTGTTACTCATATTGATTAGCTTAATTTTTTTCTTTTTTTTTTTCTTTTAAGATGGAGTCTTGCTCTGTCACCCAGACTGGAGTGCAGTGGCACAATCTCGGCTCACTGCAACCTCCACCTCCCAGGTTCAAGCGATTCTCCTGCCTCACCCTCCCAAATAGCTGGGATTACAGGCACGTGCCACCACGCCCAGCTCATTTTTTTGTATTTTTGGTAGAGATGTGGTTTCGTGATGTTGGCCAGGCTGGTCTCAAACTCCTGACCTCAAGTGATCCACCTGCCTTGGCCTCCCAAAGTGCTGGGATTGTAGATGTGAGCCACTGCGTCCAGCCTACTTGCTTAATTTTTAAACATTCTAAAGATTGTTTGTTTGTTTTTTGAGATAGGGTCCTGCTCTGTCTCCCAGACTGGAATGCAGTGGTGTGATCATGGCTCACTGCAGCCTCTACCTCCTGAGCTCAGGCCATCCTCCCAATTAGCTGAGATCACAAGCAAGCACCACCAGCTAGTTTTGTAGGGACGGGGTTTCGCCATGTTGCCAAGGCTGGTCTGGAACTCCTGGGCTCAAGTGATCCACCCACCTTGGCCTCCCAAAGTGCTGGGATTATAGGCATGAGCCACAGTGCCCGGCCTATTCTGGAATTTTTAGTTAAATCAGGAACACATGAAAAAGAAGCATAAATATTGAAATTAGCATTATTCATGAAGAATGAGAACTAATAAGGAACTTAAATTAGGCACAGGCAAAATGTAAATTAAATATACAAAAGTCAATAGTTCTGGCCGGGCACGATGGCTCATGCCTGTAATCCCAGCACTTTGGGAGGCCAAGGCAGGCGGATCGCCTGAGGTCAGGGGTTCGAGACCAGCCTGGCCAACCAACATGGTGAAACCCCATCTCTACTAAAAATACAAAAATTAGCCGGGCATGGTGGCGTGCACCTGTAATCCCAGCTACTCAGGAGGCTGAGGTGGGAGAACCCGGGAGGCAGAGGTTGCAGTGAGCCGAGATCACGCTACTGCACTCCAGCTTGGGCGACAGAGCGAGACTCCATCTTAAAAAAAAAAAAAATTTAATAGTCCTAAAGCCTAATCCATTGATTATGTAATGAGGAGAAAAGATGATTACAGTAATGCAAAATAGAAATTGTATACAAAATATATAATAAGAAATAAGTTGGTCATACTAAGAAATATGACCAACTTCTATGATAAATAATGTAAGACAGGGACATAAAAGTTGCATGTAATGGAAAAAACATATCTTATTGCTAGATAGAAGAACAAGAACAGTACCAGCACTTAGGGAGGCAAAGCCAGGATGATCACTTGAGCCCACGAGTTTGAGACCAGCCTGAGCAACGTAGTGAAACTTCATCTCTACCAAAAAATTTTAAAAATAAGCAGAGTATGATGGTGGACACCTGTGGTCCTAGCTACTCAAGAGGCTGAGACAGGAGGATCACTTGAGCCCAGGAGGCCGAGGCTGCAGTGAGCCCTAACTGCACTACCTCACTCCAGCCTGGGCGACAGAACCAAGACCCTGTCCCCCCCCAAAAAAAAAAGATGTTGGGAAGACTTTACTCCTCATAGTTAACAAATTTATTGCAAATTAATTAAAAATCAATGCAAATAGAATAGTAGGAGAACTTAGTAAAACAGTTTATCTTTAAAATAAACATGGAAGTGTGGCTGGACATATTTGAAAAATAAAAGTAATGGGTTTACTGACATGATAATAAAATGTAGCAATGCAGGAAAAAAGAAAGAGATGAATAGAAAGCAATAGGCAGGCAGAAACAGATCCGAGTATAAATAAGAATTTATCCTGGGTGCAGTGGTTCATGCCTGAAACCCTAACATTTTGCGAGTTCAAGATGGAAGCCAGGGATTTGAGACTAGCCTGGGCAACATACCAGGACCCTGTCTCTAAAAAAATTAAAAATTAGTTGGGCGTGATGTGTGCGCCTATCAGCTTGAGAGGCTGAAGCTAGAGGATTGCTTGAGCCCAGGAGGTTAAGGTGGCAGCAAGCTGTGATTGCGGCCCTGCACACTAGCCTAGGCAACAGAGCAAGAATTCATCTTAAAAGAATTTAGTAGATGATAAAGGTATTATTTTAAATTAGTGGAGAGAAGGCTGTCTGTTCCAATTAATAATGTTGCCTGATCATTTGGAGAAAGTCACTCTAGATTCTTTCCCTCATACTGAGCACCAAAAAATATATAAATTTTAAATAGATTAAAATGTTAAAAATTTTGAAGTATGTGTTTATTAAAAGAAAGAGGTGTATTTACATAAAGTTATGACAAATGACAAGTCCTAAGAGTTTGCATTTAAGTTTTATCAACTAAAATTGCTGAATTTCACAAAATTAAAATTCCTAGAATTTTAAGTGTGATAAGATTGTGAAGATAGCTCAAGGGAGTGTGTCTATAATATGCAGAAATCACTTCTGGATTTATTCCTAATAATGTATCCAGTATCACAGTATCACCTGTATTTCCCTGTTTATAACAAAACTGGCATCATGATGATTAGTAGGCCTTAATAGTGAAAAGGCTTTTTAAGTACACAACAAATGTTTCTGTACTTGCTCCGATTGCCCCATTGCTTGTACTTCTGTAGTACTTGTGAGCCATAGGATCTTTTCTCAAAAGCCTTGATAAAGAAGTTTTATAAACTTATAAGATGATTTAATGTAGTACCATAAAATTAACTGTAGCAGTAGGCTTTTTCAGGAAGACATGTGAAATAAAAAAAATTAGCAAGGTGTGGTAGCGCACATCTATAGTCCTAGCTACTCAAGAGGCTGAGGCAGGAAGATCATTGGGTCCCAGGAGTTAGAAGTTGCAGCGAGCTGTGATTGCGCCACTGCACTCCAGCCAGAGCAACAGAACAAGACCCTATCCTGTCCCTAAAAAACAAAAAACAAAATGTGTTTTATAAGTGATTATAAAATGTTTTTTTCATAGGCCAAAACTTACATAAACCATGATTTCCCATTATAATCCAGTGGAAAAATTGTAATGCTTCTATTAGTGGTAACTTAATTTTGAAATGTTAAGTAGATTGTGCCTGTGTCGGTTTCTGGGTTTTGATAAATGATCATTTATTTGGCTAACTTTGCCATTAATGGCTGAAATGGTATTGCACATTTGTAAGTGCATACTTTAGATAATCATAAATTGGGGAAATATTACTAATAAATTATCCCTGAATCATCTAGGTACATAATAATGCATTGTCAGCACTCACCAGTTGTTTGACACCTGCAAATATGCACAGATGGACAGTAACATTTGCAGCATATTTGGGGGATTTTTTTACGTGAAATGAGCATTTTTTTTAAGCAAAACATTATATTTTGGAATAATTATGAGATGTGAGTGCCTAAGCAGAGATGTACAGCAAACATTATCAGGACAGAAAGCATGATGGGAGCACCCGATGTTACATTCTTCAGTTCATGCTGTGACCAGGCGACCTCATAAAAGGAAAAATATAATGTATAAGTACAAACCCCATTTTTTGTTTTGGCTCTTTTATATTTGTATTTTTTGAGACAGAGTCTAGTTTTGTCACCCAGGCTGGATGCAGTGGACCGATCTCGGCTCACTACAACCTCTGCCTCCCAGGCTCAAGCAATCCACCCACTTCAGCCCCCTGAGTAGCTGGGGTTACAGGCATGTGCCACCACACCTGGCTAATTTTTGTATTTTTTTTGTAGAGACAGGCTTTCGCCATGTTGTTCAGGCTGGTCTCGAACTCCTGAGCTCAAGCGATCTGCCCATCTCAGCCTCCCAAATTGCTGGGATTATAGGTGTGAGCAACCGCGCCCAGCCAAACCCCATATTAAGCAAAAACTTGCCAAGAGATCTTTTAAAAGGCAAGGAATGAGTATGGCTACTGTGTAATTATCTGAAGGGTTTTTTTTGTTTGTTTTTTGGTTTTGTTTGTTTGTTTTTTTGCTGGCCTTTTAGTTTTTATGTTTAATTACCCAAGCCCCTAAAGCATTAAAGAACTTCACCTATCTAACTTTGTAGTTCTTTTACTTTATTTATTTATTTATTTATTTATTTATTTATTTATGAGACAGGGCCTTGCTCTGTCACCTAGGCTAGAGTGCAGTGGCACAATCTCGGCTCACTGCAGCTTCTGCCTCCCGGGTTCAAGCTATCCCATCTCAGCCTCCTGAGTAGCTGGGAACACAGGCACGCGCCACCACGCCTGGCTAATTTTTGTATTTTCAGTAGAGACAGGGTTTCGCCATGTTGCCTAGGCTGGTCTTGAAATCCTGGGCTCAAGCGATCCTCCTGCTTCAGCCTCCCAAAGGACTAGGATTACAGGCATATGCCACTGCGCCCGGCCCTTTACTTTCTTATAATAGAAATTTAATGGAGTTAATACCTGTAGATAGATGTAAAGGTATTGTTTTAGTCATCTACAGAAAGTACTAAGAAAGATTAAAACAAGTCACCATAGTCTTATGGTTGTCATTGGCGAAAGCCTGTGTTTGACCTGACTACAACATGATAATTTGTAGGATAATTCTAGGGAATCTCGTACCTGGCAGCAATTTTTTTTTTTTTTTTTGATGTAAACTCTTCCACTAAGTAGAAATAACAGATAAAATTGTGAGGGGGAGGGAGTTGTTTTGAAGCTGTTGAAGTTTTTTTTTAAATTATTATTATTTTTTATTTTTAACCTAATGACAAGCCCACTAAGGATACCATTCTTAATATCTGGTCTGATAAGTGGATTAATTCAAATTTGTGCTAAGGGTTTGAATTGATAGAAATAAAACTCTGGACAATTTTTTTTAGGGTCTAGATTATTTTGAAATCCCCAATAGGGTAGTTTGTTATCTTTTGGTTACATTTTAGGTCGCTCAAGCCCTCAGTTAGACCCTTTGAGAAAAAGCCCAACCATGGAACAAGCAGTGCAGACCGCCTCAGCCCACTTACCTGCTCCAGCAGCTGTTGGGAGAAGGAGTCCTGTATCAACCAGGCCTTTGCCATCTGCCAGCCAAAAGGCAGGAGAGAATCAGGAGCACAGGCGAGGTAGAACTTTAGCTGTTTACTGTTCCTTAATTGACTGATCAATGTTTTCCACTCACTTTATTTTCATTAGAAGGATTTACTTCATGTGAATGATCCCAGAAAATTAAACTGAATATGATAGAATGTTTGGTCTTTCAAATTTGACTCAAAGTGGTGGTGGTGTGGGTATAGTTTTTTGGGCATTGCACAGGCTTTGTTTTGGGTTTTTTGGTTTGTTTGTTTGCATTTCTAACTATGGAAGTTTTTGATGATGTACCCTGAGTTGATTTGGCACTTTGCATGTCTTCTTCTGTAGCTGAAGTACACAAAGTTTCAAGGCCAGAAAATGAGCAACTCAGAAATGATAACAAGAGACAAGTAGGTAAGTTCTTGGATCTAAAAGTCATATTCTATGCTTCTCAACAGGGAGAATATTTTAAATATATGATACATAATTACTATAAAAAAATGAAAGGCGGGGGTTGTGACTGTAAAGGAGGAGCACAGGGGAGTGTCACTGTGGTGACAGAACAGTCCTTTATCTTGATTGTGGTGGTAGTTTTGCAAATCTATATATGGTAGAACATCATAGAACTATGCATAAAGACATACCAAAAAATGAGTACATGTACAAACTGGTGACATCTGAGCAAGGTCTGTAGTTTAGTTAATTAGATTGTGCCTGTGTCGGTTTCTTGGTTTCGATAATGTACCATAATTATATAAGATGTGACTGTTGGAGTTTGGGAAGTTGGGTGATGGGCACAAGGGACGACTCTGAACTAGTTTTTCAATTTTTCTTTTCTATAATTACTTTAAAATAAAAAGATTTTTTAAAATTTTACTTTTCTGGGCCCGGCACAGTGGCTCACGCCTGTAATTCCAGCACTTTGGGAGGCCGGGGCGGGCGGATCACGAGGTCAGGAGCTCGAGACCAGCCTGGCTAACATGGTGAAACCCCGTCTCCACTAAAAATACAAAAAATTAGCCGGGCGCAGTGGCGGGCGCCTGTAGTCCCAGCTACTCAGGAGGCTGAGGCAGGAGAATGGCGTGAACTGGGGAGGTGGAGCTTGCAGTGAGCCGAGATTGCTCCACTGCACTCCAGCCTAGGCGACAGAGCCAGACTCTGTCTCAAAAAAAAAAAAATTTTACTTTTCTGGAAAAAAATTCTACTTAGTGGTAGGCCTTTTTTTTTCTGAGATGGAGTTTCACTCTTGTTACCCAGGCTGTAGTGCAGTGGTGTGATCTCAGCTCACGGCAGCCTCCGCCTCCCGGGTTCAAGTAATTCTCCTGCCTCAGCCTCCCTAGTAGCTGGGATTACAGCCGCGTGCCACCATACCCAGCTAATTTTTGTATTTTTAGTAGAAACAGGGCTTTGCCATGTTGGCCAGGCTGGCCTCAAACTCCTGACCTTATTTTCCACCCACCTCAGCCTCCCGAAGTATTGGGATTATAGGCGTGAGCCACCGCACCCAGCCAGGCAGTTATCTTTTAATATGTTCTTGAGTATTTCCTGCTAGAAGGATTTGTTCGTTTATATTTACATTTTCCTATGGCTTCTACTTTTGTGGTTTTTATGTTTTGTGTCAGTTTCAAGTTAGGATTATAAAATTGGTTTTCATTGTTTTCTATGCCTTTGGGAATGGAATTTTCTTCATGTTACAAGTTTGAAACGTTTCCTCATTAAAATTAAGCCCAGAGGCCAGGCACGGTGGCTCACACCTGTAATCTCAGCACTTTGGGACGCCGAGGCGGGCAGGTCACGAGGTCAGGAGTTTGAGATCAGCCTGGCCATACGGTGAAACCCTGTCTCTACTAAAAATAGAAAAATTAGCTGGGTGTGGTGGCACACGCCTGTAGTCCCAGCTGCTCGGGAGGCTGAGGCAGGAGAATCACTTGAACCCGGGAGGCGAGGTTGTAGTGAGCCAAGATCGTACCACTGCACTCCAGCCTGGGCAACAGAGCGAGAGTCTGTCAAAAAAAAAAAAAAAAAAAAATTGAGCCCAGATCCTGTTTTTGAATCAGTTGTTTAAGAGCTGTAGTTTTCTTTTATGATTATTGATTTAATAAGGTTTTATATTTTCTTTATCTGTTTTGTAATATATAACATTCTAAAATCATTCATTTTATTAATATTTTCAAATTTATTAATGGAAAATAAATTATAATTTTACAACTCTTCTAAATTAAAAAGGGAATGTATAATCTACCTTATTTAGAAAATGATTGAAAAATGATCTTTCACTTAATTTTAGAAATCTAGATATGATATTTTTAGATGTATATGTACTCTTCTCTACATTTATATATATATATATTTTTATATCCCCCCCCCCCGTGTTTTTTTTTTTTTTTTTTTTTTTTTTTGAGACAGAGTCAACCTCTGTCACCCAGGCTGGAGTGCAGTGGGGCACGATCTCAGCTCACTGCAACCTCCACCGCCCGGGTTCATGCCATTCTCCTGCCTCACCCTCCTGAGTAGCTGGGACTACATATGCCATGGAATACAGAATTTTGTTTAATTTGACTCATTATATTTTACCCTTTTTATTCAGAAAAAGAGAGAGCTCCCCTCCCAAAATAAAATAACTGCCATACTATCTTTCATTGCCCTTCAAAACTCACCCCACCAAAGAGGTTCATTAACAGAACAGTGCATATTCTTCCCGATTTTTTTTGTAGATTTTACAGACACAGACATCTATACCCAAAACCTTTTTTTTTTTTTTTTTTTTTCCCCCTGGAGATAGAATCTCGCTCTGTCACCCAGGCTGGAGTGTAGTGGTGCGATCTCTGCTCACTGCAGCCTTTGCCTCCCGGGTTCAAGCCATTCTCCTGCCTCAGCCTCCTGGGTAGGTGGGATTACAGGCATACGCCACCACGCCTGGCTAATGTTTCTGTATTTTTAGTAGAGATGGGGTTTCACCTTGTTGGTCAGGCTGGTCTCGAGCTCCTGACCTCGTGATCCGCCCGCCCCGGCCTCCCAAAGTGCTGGGGTTACAGGCGTGAGCCACCGCGCCTGGCCCCAAAATATTTTTTTTTAAGACAGAAGGATCATGGTGTAATTCTGGCTTGTGGCCGAGGCATTTTTAATAGTAGAGGTGAATGTTTCAAACATCCTACTTATCTAGATTTATGTCTGGATATGCTGCTGTGGGGTTTTGTGGTTTGTTTTCTCAAACCCAGGCAGTTTGCCAAACCTCAGCAAACAGCGCAAACCTATCTTGTTACCCTGTAGTCACTTCTCATCCTTGTCAGTATGTGTGGAGCATTTCACGCAATTGTGATCATTAAACTCATACTGGTTTCTGTTCTGCGTTTTTCAGTTAACATCAAATATTCTTCCTCTGTTTTTTTCTTGTTAGTCATTTTTCTTGTGTTGGATATTTGGGTTCCCACGTTTTTCACTATAAATTATGCTGCTTTGTATTGCTTTATCATGTCTCTTATGATTGGCTGAAATTTTACTGTGTTATAGAGGAGAGAGAATGTGTAGATACAGGAAGGCTTGAATAATATAGAGCCATCTGGAGAGACACAGTAAAGATGGAGTAGGAAGTGTTTTGAGTCAGTAAGGATTGGTGCTTGTCTGTTTTTTATCTGTGATGTGGAAATAACACCTATTTTCTTGCAATTTGTGCCGATTAGTGTTTATTTTTCTTACTATAAATCTTGGTTCCTGTTATTCTTTCCATAAAAGGCTTTCTACATTTTGAGAACCCACTGTGTGTCTGGCACTTCAGTTTGCCGGTGTTGGGGATATAGCAGTAAGGAAAACAAAGCCCCTGACCTCAAGGAGCATACATTAATTTAGTGCAGAAGCCTCCACACTTGCCTGGCTGTATACTCTGTCAGTAACACATGTGAGTGTGGACTCCATAAATACAAATGTTTAGAAATTTTGTGTGAGCTATTCTCAGTCTACATATTAAATATTAGTGAAACTTAATTTTTTATTTTGTATAAAAAATACAAATACAATAAAATATATAGAGAGACCTGTAAGCATTTCTGTTGTTGACTGTTGAATCTAAAGAGCACAATAGCAACATCTGTGCTAAACCAGCTATTACATATTGAATGTCCTTTGTATATATTCTTTATTATCATAGCTCCAGGTGCTCCTTCAGCTCCAAGGAGAGGGCGTGGGGGTCATCGGGGTGGCAGGGGAAGATTTGGTATTCGGCGAGATGGGCCAATGAAATTTGAGAAAGACTTTGACTTTGAAAGTGCAAATGCACAATTCAACAAGGAAGAGATTGACAGAGAGTTTCATAATAAACTTAAATTAAAAGGTAAGCTTTGATTTTTCTTTTCAGAAAATAATCTTATTTGATCTGTGAATTACAGATGTTTCTCAGATTAGGTGTTTTTATGTAATTCAGATTAGCTGTCTTGACTTTTCTGATATGTGCTTTTGTTCTTAGAAGATAAACTTGAGAAACAGGAGAAGCCTGTAAATGGTGAAGATAAAGGAGACTCAGGAGTTGATACCCAAAACAGTGAAGGAAATGCCGATGAAGAAGATCCACTTGGACCTAATTGCTATTATGACAAAACTAAATCCTTCTTTGATAATATTTCTTGTGATGACAATAGGTACAGTTTTTAAGCTGTTCTTTTATCTTATGATATTGATTGAAGTGTAAAATGGTTTCATGTAAATTCACGAGGTTTAATGAATACTACCATAATTGTTTTGTTTTGTTTTGAGACAGTCTTACTCTGTTACTCAGGCTGGAGAGCAGCAGTGCAGTCACAGCTCACTGTAGTCTCAAGCTCCTGACCTCAAGCAATCCTCCCATCTCAGCCTCAGTAAAGGGGACTACAGTTGTACACCACCCCACCCGGCTAATTTTTTTCATTTTTTTGTAGAGATGGGGGTCTCGCTATGTTGCCCAGGCTAATCGTGAACTCCTGGCCTCAAGATCAGCCTCCCAAAGTACTAGGATTACAGGCGTGAGCCACCACACCTGGCCATAATTGATTTTTTAATGTTTTATTTGCTAAAAGAAAATATATACTAAAGTTCTAAATTATTCATTCAAAAGAAGAAATAACCATATACTTTTGTTTAAGGATATATTCATATTTGAATATTAGCAATTAAAACAAGCATTTAGGTAATGTCTAAGTAGGACCTTTTTTTCACCCCTGTATGTTACAGTTCAAATGAAGCCAGAACCGAAGTGCTAATCTACTTTGAAGTTTGCTGG
Source organism: Homo sapiens (assembly GCF_000001405.40). Lineage (NCBI taxonomy): Eukaryota > Metazoa > Chordata > Mammalia > Primates > Hominidae > Homo > Homo sapiens. The sequence goes on from NW_003315963.1 coordinate 68,237, forward strand.
TACCATAAAACTGCCAGATTGTAGTAAATGTGGGTCCAGAAAATTGGCAAATTATTGAGAGGTTAATTAAAGGACCCAGTGTGAGGAACTAACAGTTCTAGAGGTTCTCCTGCCCAATCCAAATTGTCATTGTCCTTGTCCTTTTCCTGGCTGAAGTTTGGTGCCCTCTGGTGGCAGTTGTTTGCTTCAATATAAACATGGATGGACATAATTCTGAGTCCCACGATTGGCTGGATGACAGCAGCAATAATTCAGATACTTCTTGGGTTACTTGGTATCGGGTCCATAGATTGGGCCAGGAACATAATGGGGACCTAAGGGCCAACCTTCCATCTCCTAGCTTCCCAAGACAAGGCCTCCCTGTCTGACTTTACCTTCTTTTCCCTTGGGGCTGAGTGGAAAGCGAAGTCAATTACCAATCTCATTATATCTGAATTTCCATTATTTTGGAGCTGTTACTATGTTTATCAGGTGTATTTGCAAGAAACTAATGTCAGTCATGTGTTCACATGAAGTTTAACAGAATATTACAGGAACATATTGAACTCATATGCCATGAACAACTCGTGATAACTTAGATAAGATGCTTTTTTTTTTTTTTTTTTGAGATGGAGTTTCGCTCTTGTCACCCAGACTGTAGTGCAGTGGCTCGATCTCGACTCACTGCAACCTCCACCTCCCAGGTTCAGGTGATTCTCCTGCCTCAACCCCCCAAGTAGCTGGGATTACAGGCACCTGCCACCATGCCCAGCTATTTTTTGTATTTTTGGTAGAGAATGAGTTTCACCATTTTGGCCAGGCTAGTCTCGAACTCCTGACTTCAGGCGATCCGCCCCCTCGGCCTCCCAAAGTGCTGGGATTACAGGCGTGAGCCATCACGCCTAGCCAAGATGCTTATTTCTAATTAGCTTTAGTAATTACTTAGGCTTAATTTGGGAGTAGCACTGCATATTTTGGCTGAGGGATATTCTTTTAAACCTGATATGCTGAAGATTATTTGCTTTTATAATAGAGAACGGAGACCAACCTGGGCTGAAGAAAGAAGATTAAATGCTGAAACATTTGGAATCCCACTTCGTCCAAACCGTGGCCGTGGGGGATACAGAGGCAGAGGAGGTCTTGGTTTCCGTGGTGGCAGAGGGCGTGGTGGTGGCAGAGGTGGTACCTTCACTGCCCCTCGAGGATTTCGCGGTGGATTCAGAGGAGGTCGTGGGGGCCGGGAGTTTGCGGATTTTGAATATAGGGTAAGTGTTACTGTTAATAAATTCTTTGGGGTTGACATGCATTTTACAAGACTCAAAACATTTTTACTTGTTTTTGTTTTGGGTGAATTGTTTTGAGGACATTAGAATAACTTCCATTTTGACTTTTCAGTAGAGGATATACGTGATTCAGATGTATATATAAAGACATTATACAAAAAAAGACAGTATAGTATCACCTTTATTTCATGTTAACAGAATATACTTTTAACACCCAAAGAGTCTATCTAGGAAGCACATACTCCCAGAATGGAAGGGCAAGCTTTAACATTTAATAGCAGTTAACATTTATATAGTATTTACCAAGTAACAAGACATTGTTTTAAATATTTTTTTACATATTAACTTATTTAAACTGCACATCAACTCTGTGAGGTAGGTTCTATTATTATCCCCATTTTACAAGTGAGGAAATGGGTATAGAGATATTAAGTAACTTGCGAAAGGTCACATAGCTAGTAAGTGATGGTGCTGGGTGTTGAGCCCAGCAAGTTGTTTCCTGAGTCAGTACTCTTAATTTGGTTTTGTTGAAAATTCACTACATTTTCCCTGGTTTTCTCCTTTCACCATGAAATTGAAAATGTTTCGATATATTGGCCTTCAGGAGCTACTGCTAGAGAATTCTGTAACTCTGTATAGTAGCCTTATGTGTATAATGTAGCTTTTGACAGGTGTCTGTAAATTAAGTCAGCATAGTAACTATCTCAGTTAACAGTAAACTATCTTAGTTTATTGATTTTAGAAGTAGTGGAGAGGAAGGGCTATAACAGAAAGGACCAAAATCTTGTAAAGAGTTCCACTTGTAATAGCAACAGGCAGCTGGAAACAGAAAGACCTGTTAGCAGGAGTTCCATTGCCCAGTACTTAAAACTGGCCATTGTTGAGATCTCTCTGGAAAGAGATCAGTATTAGTGGCTTTTGGACCTGCTCTATTAATTTTAATGCTTTTGATATTGTGCCATCACAGCCAAGACTGCCAAAAATTATACTCAAGTCACCAGCTTATGCCATCCAGCCGTTGGTGGCCTTATGTAGTTGCGGGACTTCTGACTTGCAAAATCACCTTCCCAGCTAGGAGAATCTGTCTTAGGAACTCCAGAATAGCCCTCGCTTATCACTGTTACTGCCCTTAAGTTTGCCAGTGACACCTTGCTTACAGAATTCAGCAGTAGTATTTTCACAAATATTTTATTTGCCATTAACTCCTCTGCAATATTTGACACTGACCAACCACCCAATTTGGGGTCTTTCTTCCTAGTCTTTAAAATACTCTTCTAGGTTTTCAATTTATACTCTTCCTAATTTTTTAATACTCTTCATTCTTTTTTTTGGGGGGTGGAGGGTGTCAGGGTCTTGCTGTGTCACCCAGACTGGAGTGCAATGGCATGATCATAAGTCACTGCAGCCTCAACCTCCCAGGCTCAGGCAGTCCTCCCACCTCAGCCTCCTATGTAGCTGGGACTACAGGCATGCACCACCATGCCCAGCTAATTTTTAATTTTTTTTGTAGACACTGGGTCCCACTCTCACTATGTTGTCCAGGCTGGTCTTGAACTCCTGGGCTTAAGCGATCCTCTCACCTCAGCTTCCCAAAGTGCTGGGTTTATAGGTGTGCCATGGTGCTTGTTCCATCCTCCCTTTTGTAAGCCTGTCCTGGACCCTATGTGTTTCTGCACCGCATCTCTATCTGCACTGTTTGCTGTCAGCTTAACCTTCCTCAGACTGATCTCATCATCTTCCTTCTCTCCTGTCATCTCAGCTCTGCCTCCTCCCAGTGTTCCATGTTGGCTCATGGTATACTGCCCAGGCACTAGAGGTATCCATGATTGTGGCCTGTTGCCATTTATTCCTTTGAGATGTCCCTGTCAACTACCATGGTAACCCACCAGTTGGGCTTCAGACCTTCGTCTCTCTTTACCCCACTTTAAGGCAGATCAGCTACATTTTGAACAACCTGTGACAACTCCTTGTTGAAGACCACATTGAGTCAGCTTGGTCTGAGAAAAAGTACATTTAAATTAGACTTGGATCCAGATGAGAATAATAGCAGTAGTTACTAGTATGACCTTTCAGACCCTTGGTTTTGACATTTGTGAATAAAGAGTTGCACCATTTATTCTGAAATAACACCTTTTAAAGATCATTAAACTTTCAGAGTTGGAAAACATCTGAGAGGTCTGACCTGGTTAAAACATAAACCTCTTCTGCAGTATCTCTTATAGGGGCTGGGAGCTTACTCTTCCCAAGGGCATCCATCCCACCCCAGGGATGTTCTAACTGTTACAATCTCAGCTGGGCGTGGTGGCTCACACCTATAATCCCAGCACTTTGGGAGGCTGAGGTGGGCGGATCACCTGAGGTCAGGAGTTCGAGACCAGCCTGGCTAACATGGTGAAACCCCGTCTCTACCAAAAACATAAAAAAAATTAGCCGGGCGTGGTGGCACACACCTGTAATCCCAGCTACTCGGGAGGCTGAGGCAGGAGAATCATTGAACCTGGGAGGCAGAGGTTGCAGTGAGCCGAGATCACGCCACTGTACTCCAGCCTGGGCGACAGAGCAAGACTCCGTCTCAAAAAAAGGAAAAAACAAACCTTCCATGCAGTAACTGTGTGTGCTCCATGTGGTTACTAATACAAACATTTTTTTGACACCATGTCACACTGTTTATCATTTTGAGCCTTTTGTAAAACTCGTATCACATATATTGCAGAATTGAAAATGCATTGTCATAGTTACCTCCATGCATCTTTGTCTACGCTCCTGTATCCTTGACAGATAGTCCAGCCTCTGCTTAGGTGTTGCCAGGAGTGATGGACTCAGCGAACCCTCAGGCATGGCCCAGTGTTTAGGAGGCTCAGTTGTGACATTGTAGTCCCTGCTCTTCTTAATTGTGTGAGGATCCCACTTGATATATTTGGCCTCATTCCTCATTACCCTTTAACCTATCTGATTCAAGCAAGCTGCCTCATGGTTATCTCACATACACATTGTGCTTGATTCCAACTCCATCCCCATTCATTTACCAAATATACAGAATTCTTCAGATATGCCAGGCACTATGTTGAGCATTGGTGCTGACCGATGTAGGCCCAGCCCTTTTGATGTTTACATTTTGGTGGGAGACAGACATAGCTAAAAGTCAGGTCCCCCCTTTCACTTATCCTTTACAGCCTTGCCCAAGTTTTGCTCTGTCTTCTCTTCCTTCCTACACTGATTTCCTCCTCTTCTGACCTGTGGCTATCTGCTTTCTTTGGCACACATTTTAAATACACTGACATTCCCTATTTTTTGTATTTAGTTTTGTTCTGCATCACCAGCTAGATGAGAACCTCTTGGCTTTAGTGAATATGTATTCTACTTTTCTTTCCATGACAACACTCAGCTCAACATGGAGCCATAGTGGGCTTGAAGTAATTGCTTGTCATGTTGATTAGGAATTTGCCACTCCAGCCTTCAGTGAGACCAAAGGTCTGTCAATGTAGCTAGCCTTTGATTGTTCATTCCAGAGTTGAATAATCCTTTCATCTGCCACTAGAGCCCCGAACCCAGCAGCCCTACACCTCCTAAATCATAAAATCATTTCACCTGGCACCTTTAAAGGTAGAAAATGGTGAGTGATCACTGTCACATAAAGGAGATTTACCACTGAAGATTAAACTTGTATCTGAAACATCTAACACTTCCTCCCAGAGATGGACATGGATGACATTTCTGCAGCCTTCATGAAATGAGTTGGCTTTATTTTTTGTGCTATATTAGCATGAGTCATTGTGGTTTGGGGGTAAGCATAAATGAGCTTGGTTGTTTAATGAAAACATGGGTAAAGATAAAATCATAAAGTTTTAGAATCCTTAAAAGAATCAGCCAAACTAGAATCTCTACGCTACCACACTCACATTAGATGATAAGGAAACTAAGGACCCCAAGAAGTTAATTGTCATGATTGAGGTACAAGCTAACAAATCCAAAACTCACTCTCTTGACTTGTGGCCTGATTTTCCTTAAGGGTAATATTGTAAATATAGGCCAGTGCAATGGTGTACACATGTAATACCAGCATTTTGGGAGGCCAGGGCAGGATTGCTTAAGCCCAGGAATTCAAGGACAGCATGGGCAACATAAGGAGTCCCTATCTCTATAAAAAAGTTTAAAAATTAGCTGGAGTGGTGGCACATGCCTGTAGTCCCAGCTACTCAGGAGGCTAAGGCAGGAGGATCAGTTGAACCTGGGAGGTCAAGGCTGCAGTGAGCCATGATCGCACCACTGCACTCCAGCCTGGGTGACAGAGCGAGGCCTGTCTCAAAAAAAAAAAAGAAAAGAAAGAAATATAACCTTATGGTAAGTTTGGTTGTATGGTGTTTTCCCCCTCCCACCGCCCATTCTTTTTTGAGGTGAGAATGGAAATCAGGACTAGCAATAATAATGTAACCAGCTCCTGTTTTATATGCTGCTGTCAGGGAGGTTAAGCCACCATGGTGGGTGATAAAAAATCACATCTGTGTTTCCTCAGATGGGGTTCAAAGACAACAAGGTGTCTGAATGACTCAGCATAATGCTCTCTCTCCTCTCCCCCTTTCATTTTCTCCTTTCTCCCTCTCCTGTCCCCATCTCTTTCTCTTTTTTTTTTTTTTTTTTTTTTTTACCTTTCAGAAAACCACAGCTTTTGGACCCTAAAAGGTCTGGATTGATCGTACTGCTTTCTGAAAGGTAAAAAAAACAAATACTTTGGGAGGTGTGAAGGTTGGCTTTGTGGGGGACAGCAGGTTCATCTTGTAGCTCATTGCTGTCAACTTATGCCATACCATATGTATTTCAGTTTAATAACGGGGTGCAAATGTTTTGGTGTTGTATACACAGATGAAGTTAAGTCTCACCTAGGAAATGTCTGTTTCTAACAGTTGGGGTGAGAATCAGCAGTAAAAACCAGGTATATGGTAGCAGCTGGTCTAGAGGAAAATAAAAGCCCTTGGCTCCAGCCCTTTGTACAGGCCTTTAGTTTAGGGTCAGTCTCTCTGGAAATCTTGAGATTTTTATTGCTTCCTCACTGGTTACTTTTTAAAAATTCCCCAGTCAGCTTTCTACTTTTCAGAGCTTATTTCAGATTTAAGAGTTATCCTTGTAAAATTGATTTTTAAACCATTGCTTCCTCCTGGCATGAAATTTTGGAGAGAAATGTTATACTGACTGGGTATTTTATTGCTTAGTAAAGACATCAAAGACTTGGGGATTTTATGAAACTTGTTTCAAAGTATGTTGACAGTTGTATTTGATGAGTTTGACTATTGAGTTGAGGGTTTAAGTCCTATCACTGCTTTTAAAAAATTATTAGGGAGAACAACCAAAGATGAGGAAGTATGCCTGTATTTTGGGGTGGGGTTCACCACTGCATTAACCTCTACTGACTGGAAGATGCAGTCAACAATGAGGTACTACTGAGTATGGAAGTTATAGAAGGAGTTTCGTGGAAATGAGTGAGACAGGTTTTTCTATGAAAGTAAAAGTGGGGGAGTATATTTAAAGATAATTTAAAATAAACTTGAGCAAAGTAAAAAGAAAATAATACACCAATAATTTGGAACATGAGCTAAATTTTTTTTTCTTTTTTAGAAAGACAACAAAGTTGCTGCATAGTCTACAAACAAGTCTCTGAAAATAGGTGAATTTCTAGCTCTTCATGGTCCTGAACATTGATTTCAGTCTTTGCAAAGAATGAAGAAGTGAATTCGCTGTACATTTGTCACCAGCACTGGGTTTTTGTTTTTTGTTTGTTTTTCCGCTTAATTTCAAAGATAAAATGCAGTTACTTTTGGGGGTGGAAGGCTCATCTTAAAACATGAGCATTAAATATATTTGGAATAGCAGAAGGTTAAGTAATTTCTTATGTATAGTTAAACTAAAGCAGTACTTCAGTGGGACTTAACAAGTATTTTTTCATCACTGAAAGGTTTTTTTTTTTTATCACTAAATTGTATTTGGCAATTGCAAGTTGCCTGCAGATAGGGCCGTGATACTGTGTTTTGAGCCACAGAAGGTTGTGTGTGTGTGTGTGTGTGTGTGTGTGTGTGTGTGTGTGTGTATGTGTGTGTCTTTTTCCTCCTTTCTTTTGGGGAATCCTGTAATATGAGGTAGCTTATTTCGTCAATTAATTAGGGTGCTGGATGGTAGAGAATTTTGTCAGTCAACTATGTACACACAGTAAATACTGTTTCTTAGGCAAAGGTAACTTTTTTATATAGTTGTAAAATTCCATTATATTCCATTGCCAAAGAAACATTAAGAACTTTGTATAGCTGTATAAAAAGCAACTAATTTTTTAAAGAATAAACATTTTAAAGTCAGCAAACATACTGTGTCCTTGCAGAAGTTGATGTGCTGAGCAGCAGCCTTATGGGTGGGTCTTTTTTTCTTAGTTTTCCAGGCTTAACATTTTTGATTTTGTTTTTTAATGTTTGGAACATAAATGAAGATTTGATACATTATTTCATTATCTAAAAAGGATTAATTATTCATGCTCATTGTAAGAACTTCATTTTGTAGCAAATGGCATATCACAGGATCTGTCCAGATAATCGATATTTTCAGTATACAAATGTAAATAATCACAGATGAGAATGTACTTAGCTGTATTTTCAAATAAGTAATCTTCCCCCCTTTTGTAGGACTTTAAAACTAGGCATCAATGAACCTGTTTTTCCTATTATGCCTGGAATTTAGTCATGATACCTTGACTCATTCCATCATATTTCAAGAGGATTCAGAGTGCTAGAAATTATTTTGGTAGCCTGTAACACACGGCAACACTGGTCCTTGGGCCTATGATGACCCACAGATGACTCAGTATAGAGTTCATTGCTAATTATAAATTACTAGTGAATCTTTTTGATATTTTAAGCTCTAGTGGGAAAAATCTGGCCACTTTTGTGTTTTTATGAAGGCCATGGAATAAAAGGATCCAAAGATTTAAATATTTTTATCTAATATTTTGATTGTTTTCTTAACTTTCTCCTTAAAACATTCAGTAGTGATAAAGATATAGAAACTGCACTGTAGGAGAATTGGAATATTTAAGGCTGGTTGACATTTTTTATTTTCATTTTATATCTTTTGTATAGCTCTACAAGGCAGTGTTTTGTAATTTGGTTTCATTATGAAGATCCAGTACTTGGCAGCCATAGTTTAGACAATATTGTTCAGTGCTGTTTGCTTGCATGTTAACAACAAAACCTTTTAGAGGACCCACAAATCATGATATTGAACACAGTTCCGAGGCATTCAGAGCATCAGAGCAAGTACCATGGCAATACATGTGTAGACTGTTGGAGATGTCCCGGGCCAATTTCAAGAAAGAAAACTGTAAATACTAGTTCTACTTGCTCTGAAATTATGAGTTTATGCGTTTTCCCAGCCCTCCGAATCACTGACTGGGGCGTTTTGTGCCCCAGCAATAACTGGCAGCATGGCATACCTGCAGTACCCCTTACAATATTAAAGCAAAGTTTTTATTCTAAAACAGAATAAAACTGTTCAATAAAAAATGCTCGTCAAAGTTCTTTCTCTTTAAATAGTAACATTCTGTTTCAGTAGGAACATAATGAAAGGAATCTTTTAAATGGAAGAGCGGAATTATAATGTTTGTATTCCCTGTAATAACTATAAATCAGTTACTTTATTTCTAAGATTGAGTTATTGTTGCAGATGTTTAGGGAAAGCTAAAAGCCCCTTCCTTCCCCTCCTGTGTGTAAATAAAATACTTCTGAGATCAGATCCGTGACATGAGGAGATTGAGCCACCCAGGCACAGGCCAGGCTGGAAACAGCAGCCAGAACACACTCCCTGTGGGCAGACGCATGAAGAAGATGCAGAATCTGTCTATTAAAACAGTTCGCTCCAAAAGCTGGGCTTCATGTGATGGTAGGGCAAGAGGTCGGGAACAGCAGTGCAGCACAGTGGCTCTCGGTGGGGTTACCTGACATCCTAGGAACACAGTCATCTGTTGCTTAATAATAGCGACATGTTCTTATTTTTAAATAGCAATGAGGTCTCACTTCGTTGCCCAGGCTGGTCTCTAACTCCTGGGCTCAAATGATCCTCCCATCTTGGCCTCCCAAAGTGCTAGATTACAGACATGAGCCACCAGGCCCGGCCATGACACATTCTGAGAAATGTGTTAAGCAATGTCATCATTGTGTGAACATCAGAGAGTGTACTACACAAATGAAGATGGTATGGCCTACTCCACACCTAAGCTATATGGTGTAGCCTGTTGCTCCTCGCTACAAACCTGTACAGCATGTTACTGTACTGAATACTGTAGGCAGTCATAACACAGTGGTATTTCTGTATTTAAAACATATCTAAACAGAAAAAGTATAGTAAAAATACGGTATCATAATCTTTGGGACCACCATTGTATACCCAGTCCATCGTTGACCAAAACATCATTAAGTGGTGCGTGAGTACTGAGGAATGTGAGGGGATGTGTTTTGGTTGTCACAATCACTGGGGATCACCACTGGTATTTAAAAGTAAGGGCCCGGATGGTAAATGTCCTGTGCTGTGCCACACAATCAGTTGTCCAACCCAAAGTGCAGTAGTGCTCCTCTACTCTGAGAAACACTGGCTAAAGTCCCTCCACATGGAAAGACAGTAAGTGGGAAATTATTTCCTGCCAACTTGAAAAAAAAAATTTACTACTTAGGAAATTGTCCGCTTGGGAATATTAATAATAAAGGGAACTTACTTCCTGTAGCACATCAGCATTGTGGAAACATTACCACATAGGAGTTAGGGCTTCATCCTGTTCTCTGTCAGTGCTTCACAAATCTCTGATCAGAATCTACCAAGGAGCATTTTTAAGTACAGATTCCCAGGCCCAGAGAGTGATTCTGAAGTTCCCTAGTACAGCAGAACCCAACCTTTTTGGCACCAGGGACTGGTTTCACCAAAGACAGTTTTTCCACAGATGAGCAGGGGGTATGGTTTTGGGGTGATTCAAGTATATTTATTGTGCACTTTATTTCTATTATTACATTGTAATATATAATGAAATAATTACACAATTCACCATCATGTAGAATCAATGGGAGGCCTGAGCTTGTTTTCCTGCAACTAGATGGTCCCATCTGGGGGTGATGGGAGACAGTGACAGATCATCGGGCATGATCAGTGAGTGCGCAACCGAGGTCCCTTGCATGCAGAGCTCACGATAGGGTTTCCAACCCTATGAGAATCTAATGCTGCTGCTGATGTGACAGGAGGTGGAGCTCGGATGGTAATGCTCACTCATCAGCCCGCCTCTCACCCGCTGTGCAGGCTGGTTCCTAACAGACCACGGACCACGACCGTTCTGCTGCCCAGGGATCAGGGACCCCTTCTCTAGTAGGTCCTAGGAATCTTACTGATCCCACAGGTAGTTGTGATTAGCTAGGTTTGGGAAGATGACTGTACAACACCAAAGCTGGTTCCTGCTTTGGGGGTGTTGATATATTTTCCACAGTAGGATTATCTTAGCATTTTTCCCATCCTTCCAAACCCAGTATATCCAGATTGTGACTGGGGCATGAAGAGAGGGATGGGACTAAGTGGAAAGGAGGGAACAGTTTTGCAGGATGGAATCAGGGGAAATGGGGAGGTTGAGACTCGAGTTTCCTCCAGAGTTTGGGTGCTTTGAGTACTGAGTTTTATTTCGTTTTTATTCCTGGCATAGGGTTTGTGTTCCTTCTGTCTCTTAATTTTGCATGCCAGTTGTCCCTGCCTCTGTGGGTTCTCTGCCCATCAGAGAAGCCGCTCCTTCTGCAGGGCCCCTCTGTCCACAGCATGGCTGAGAAGCAACTTCTTTTCCTGAGAAGGGTTACTTAGGCCATCCAATCACATCTGGATTCAGTGTGTTGCAGGATCCCCCTGCCCTGTTAGTTCAGAGATTAAGCTGTTTTACATAGTAAAGGTGGGGAGAGTGTCATGGTATAAAGTAATCCAGGTGAATGGTCTCTTCCTGTAGGAGTGCAGGTGTCACCAATTTGCTTTAGTTTACCTGTCCCGACTGGTTTTGGGGTTTTTTTGAGACGGAGTCTCACTCTATCACCCAAGCTGGAGTGCAGTGGCGCGATCTTAGCTCACTGCAACCTCTGCCTCCCAGGTTCAAGTGATTCTCTCCCCTCAGCCCCCCGAGTAGCTGGGATTGCAGGCGTGTGCCCCCACACCCAGCTAATTTTTGTATTTTTAGTAGAGATGGGATTTCACCATGTTGGCCAGGCTGGTCTCGAACTCCTCACCTCAGGTGATCCACCTGCCTCGGCCTCCTGAAGTGCTGGGATTGCAGGTGTGAGCCACTGTGCCTGGCCTGTTCTGACTCTGTTTAAAAGATAACAAGTATTAGGCTGGGTGCGGTGACTCACGCCTGTAATCCCAGCACTTTGGGAGGCTGAGGCGGGTGGATCACGAGGTCAAGAGATCGAGACCATCCTGACCAACATGGTGAAACCCCGTCTCTACTAAAAATACAAAAAATTAGCCTGGTGTGGTGGCGGGCACCTGTAATCCCAGCTACTTGGGAGGCTGAGGCAGGAGAATTGCTTGAACCTGGGAGGCGGAGGTTGCAGTGAGCTGAGATTGTGCCACTGCACTCCAGCCTGGGCAAAAAGAGCGAAGCTCCATCTCAAAAAAAAAAAAAAAAAAACCACGTATTATTAGTAAAATTGAAATCAAACTTAGGGAAGTATCATAGTACCATTAATCTGTCAATCTGAAGATGCTAAAAGGAGATTTGCTTAGCAGGCTGCCTTGGCTTCTCCAAGATGGGGAGACAGACAACTTCTTGGAAGCAGTGTCCTCCAAACAGAAATTGGTCAAGGAAGGGAAGTGGGAGAGAGAGCTTTGACTAGCAGAGGCTTGGAAGCCAGCCAGCCAGCAGCCAACAGTGCATGTGTGCATTGGGAAGCTAGTGGTCCAGGGACCAGGCACTGCTCCTGTGGGATCCATCCCAGCCCTCTAAGGAGCGGTGCAAAGGTTCTTATCCTATTTATCGGAGCCAGTGTCCAGAAAAGGAAGCTTGTGGTTTGAGACATTCTGTAAATCCGGTTCCAAGAGCACGAGGTAGGACTCTGAATCCGATGTGGTTTCTGTTCTCGGTGATGGTGCAGAGCTGTGAGCCAGTGGTAGGGTGTCCTTTAAATTCCAGCTCAGTACACTAGTTAATGAACTTGGCTGACTGATAAAAATGTTTTCAGGTTTAGCTCATGAACATATCAACATAGACCTAAATATAATTCCAGTTTGTCATGAATGTTGATTTTTTGAGGAAATGCTTTAAAATGTACTGATGCCCATGTTGTGGTTGTAAGGAAACAAAGCAGCTCTGTGAGGCCAAAGCATATTTCAGTTCAATAGTGAGGCTTTCTTAGAAAGAATGACTCATAGTCACTCAGAGTTGAGTCGCACAGAAACAACCGAGAGCAGACAGCAAGGAACGGCAGGGCCCAGAAGGTCCAGCCTTTCCCTCCAGGCTGAAGGGTTAGGGAAGATCGCCAACCTTAAAGGGGGTGTGAGAGGCCTGGGCCCAGGTGAGATTGTACTGAATTCCAGTAAACAGTGTACAGTCATTCCAGGACAGAGGACAGGAACATGTTTACTAGGTGTCTGGAGTGCACCTCTATAATCCTCATACACACTAATCCAGATAATCCTGGGATGCTGGCCTCACGCAGGATTGTTGATGAGAATGCAAATCCCAACATTGCAATTCAGGATTTTGCTTCTACTGAAAGCATTTTGTCAATGTTCTCTTTTGGGGTTAGCTGGGTGACAGTTCTCCCTTGCTGGATTCCCAGTACTTAATAGCGTTTCTTTGACTCAGTGGATATGTGGAACATTGCAGACTGCAATTTATAACACAGAACTGGGTATATATTTTCATTATAAAAGTAATACATGTAAAAAGAATGCAGGCCTCTTCTCTGATTGGGTGGTATTTTTAAAAAGAAACAAAGAATGCAGGCAGTGTAGATTATGTTTGTTTTTTAAAGGAAAGAGAAGAAAAAATTCTCTAATCCCACCACCCACAGCTGACCATGTTGACACTATTTGGGTGTATATTCTGTCTGGCATTATCCTGTACAGGCATATGCTCTTCAGCAAAAATGGATTTGGCCGGGCGCAGTGGCTCAGCCTGTAATCCCAGCACTTTGGGAAGCTGAGGCAGGCAGATCACTTGAGGTCAGGAGTTCCAGACCAGCCTGGCCAACTTGATGAAACCCCATCTCTGCTAAATGCAAAAATTATTAGCTAGGCATGGTGGCGGGTTCCTGTAATCCCAGCTACTTGGGAGGCTGAGGCAGGAGAATTTCTTGAACCCAGGAGGCAGAGGTTGCAGTGAGCCAAGATCGCGCCATTGCACTTCAGCCTGGGTGACAAGAGCAAAACTCCATCTCAAAAAGAAAAAAAGAAAAGTAGATGGGCACAGTGGCTCATGCCTGTAATCCCAGCACTTTGGGAGGCCAAAGCAGGAGGATTGCTTGAGCCCAGGAGGTTGAAGTTGCAGTAAGCCATGACCACACCACTGCACTACAGCCTGGGTGACAGAGTCTAAAAAAAAAAAAAAAAAAAAAAAAAATCCACATTTCTAAATGGGAAAATCTGAAGGCCTTGATCTGCTGCCAAGGGTCATTGGCTGTGTCTTTTGAAACATTTTTATTATGAAAGTGTCATGTGGTTATAGGATATGAGCTGCTTCAGCCCGGCACGGTGGCTCACACCTGTAATCCCAGCACTTTTGGAGGCTGAGGAGGGCGGATCACCTGAGGTCGGGAGTTCGAGACCAGCCTGACCAACATGGAGAAACTCCATCTCTACTAATCATACAAAATTAGCTGGGTGTGGTGGTGCATGCCTGTTATCCCAGCTACTCAGGAGGCTGAGGCAGGAGAATCACTTGAACCTGAGAGGTGGAGGTTGCGGTGAGCCGAGGTCACTCCATTGCACTCCAGCCTGGGCAACAAGAGTGAAACTCCATCTCAAAAAAAAAAAAAAAAGAAATGAGCTGCTTCAAACAGGTCCTCACTAAAGACCAATGACTGGCATTGCCTGAGCAACATAGGGAGACCTTGTTTCTACAAGTTATTTATTTATTTATTTATTTATTTATTTATTTATTTATTTATTTATTTGGAGCCAGAGTCTCGCTCTGTCGCCCAGGCTGGAGTGCAGTGGCACGATCTCGGCTCACTGCAAGCTCTGCCTCCCAGGTTCACGCCATTCTCCTGCCTCAGCCTCCCGGCAGCTGGGACTACAGGTGCCCGCCACCACGCCCGGCTAATTTTTTTTATTTTTAGTGGAGACGGGGCTTCGCAGTGTTAGCCAGGATGGTCTCGATCTCCTGACCTCATGATCCGCCCGCCTCGGCCTCCCAAAGTGCTGGGATTACAGGCGTGAGCCACCGCACCCGGCCTATCCAAGTAATTTTTTAAAAATTAGCTGGGCGTGGTGGCGCGTGCCTGTAGTCCCAACTACTTGGGAGGCTGAAGCGGGAGGATCACTTGAGCCCAGGAGGTTGAGGTTGCAGTAAGCCATGACCACACCACTGCACTCCAACCTGGGCAACAGAGCAAGACCCTGTCTCCAAAAGAAAAAAAGAAAAGTACACATCATAATTACCTATGTAACCGGCACCCAGATTATAAATCAGATTATTAACAGTACCCCAGAAACCCACCAAGCTCCCTTCCAGTAGTCCCCATCCCTTCAAGGCTAACTACAGTCCTGACTTCTGACACCATAGATTACCTTTGGTGTTTTTATATAAATGGAATTACACAGTATATACTCTTGTGTTTGGCCTCTCTACTCAGCATTGTGTTTGGGATTCATCTCTCTTGTTGCATTTGGCCATGGACTGTTCATTTTCATTGCAGTATAATATTCCATTGTGTTAATAGACCACAGTTGCTTCTTTCTACTGTTGATGCCGCATTTGGGTGGTTTCTAGCTTCTGGCTATTAAAATAATGCTGGTACTGTTTTTTCCTTCGGGAGAGAAGCCAGAACTAGAGTGGGTGAGAGGAATGCTGACCTAGCCCTCTTGAGGACTTGGAGCATGGTGAACCATATGGTAGTGCTCTGCTTGTCACTAACCATAAAGTACCATACAACCCTGATGTACAGTAGACATAGATGTAGATAATGGTATATATTAGAGCAGATCCAGAGTCAATCCTCCGTGTGCCTAGCCTCAGTCCCCTAAGGACAGTGCTCCCCCATTGCCCTTACTCACTGGCAGCAGTGGAATATTTCTTGCCCTACAAAACTGTGTTCAGGATGTGGATGCGGTCTCCTTGCTTCCCTGCTGATAAAAACTCCTACCCCAGTGAGGTTATGTGATCCTCTCACTCTCCTGGTGATGACCATTTAATGACCTGATCTCTGCCCATCATATCGTGAGAAGTCTGATACTCATCTTCCTCTTCCTCTCCCCTTCTGTCTTATTCAAAGTGACTTCAGCTGTTGTGTGATCTACCCATCTGTACTGGGGGTCCCCAGGGTAATCGCACGCATGGCTATGACAGTGTACAGTGACAGGATACAGTGACAGGATACAAAGCAAAATTCACAAAGGGAAAAGATGTGTGGGCAAAGTCTGGAGGAAACCAGGCTCAAACTTGCAACGGGGACTTAGAAAGCGGAGCCTCACGGGATGTGCTTAGCTTCTCCAGCAGGGAGTTGCAACAACATGCGTGGGATATTGTCTGCCAGGGAAGCTTCAGACTTAGTTGCCCAGGGTTTTTACTGGGGGCTGATTATGCAGACACCCTCTGCGTGGCACGTGCCAAAATTCCAGGCTCCCAGAAGTAAAGCACAAGCAAACCACATTGTTTACAACAGTCTGGATACAGTGCACCACTCCTACCAGTTCTGGGAATGGCGGGAACCCTCCTGAAATCCAGATGTCAGGCGAGAGCCAAACTTACAAGCAGGCCTTGTAAATGACAGCAGTCAAACCTGCTTCGTTAACTCCTCTGCACACTCGCCCACACCCTGGCTTCCGTCCTTGTCCTGTGACATTTTCCTGTTGTCCCCTCCTACCCAAAGCTGTAGACACACCTGGACCTTGTCCATCAACCTCAACTGCAACCACCTCCAAATCACAGACTTAGACACCCCGCCCTTTGACCTTCCAGCTGTCTTGCTGAAGAAATAGCTAAAAAAAAAAAAAAAAAAACATAAAAAAATTCAGGCCAGGCGCGGTGGCTCACGCCCGTCATCTCAGCAATTTGGGAGGCCAAGGCGGGCAGATCACGAGGTCAGGAGATCGAGACCATCCTGGCCAACATGGTGAAACCTCTGTCTCTACTAAAAATACAAAAATTAGCTGGGCATGGTGGCACATGCCTGTAATCCCAGCTACTGGGGAGGCTGAGGCAGGAGAATCGCTTGAACCCCGGAGGCAGATGTTGCAGTGAGCTGAGATCACGCCACTGCACTCCAGCCTGGCAACAGAGTGAGACTCTCTCTCTCAAAAAATAAATAAATAAATAAATAAATAAAAATTAAAAAGCAGTGACCTAACCCATTCCCTTCCTTAGTAACTGTTTTTAGCCTGGTGCAGAACTCCAGGTCCAGAATCTTTATACTTTCTCCGGCTTCATTAGTTCCCCCGTGCTTTCTCCACCGCCATCTCCAACCATCCTAAACTCCATGACTCACTCTTCATTTATCTTGCAAATACCCTAAACTCCTTTGCTTCTCTTTTGAGAAGCTCCTGCCTAGAGAAACTTCAACCCTAAAAGCATCCATTCATCCACATTGTCAATGTCTTCACCCAGGGGGTTGAGTCCTGAGGACAAGAATCACAGTTGAGCAAATCAATGCCACTGTAAATAATGCTGATTACTACCCTCAACCTTGGCCCTCAACTTTGTATATTTATACCTCAACCAGGTATATTTCTTTGTATATATATACCTCAACCAGGTGTATTTCTGTAATCACTGTGCCCTTAACTTTGCATCAAAACCAGTATATTTCTGTAATCATCTCTCTGCAGTCAGCAAGTGGTCTTACCATCTATTTCAAAGACAGCTGGTGGCTGTTGGATGAAAACAGTTTCAGACGCTTACCACACTCTAAACCAGCCTCATCTGCATCCCAGGCCCTATTAAAAGGAGGTAGGGGCTGGGTGCAGTGGCCCATGCCTGTAATCCCAACACTTCAGGAGGCTGAGGTGGTAGGATTGGATTGCTTGAGGCCAGGAGTTGGAGACCAGCCTGGGCAACATAGCAAGACCTCATCTGTACAAAAAATTTAAAAATTAACTGGGCTTGCTGGCACATACCTGTAGTCCCAGCTTCTTGGGAGGTTGAGGTGGGAGGATCACTTCAACCCCAGAGACTGAGGCTGCAGTGAGCTAGCTATGATTGCCGAGGCAGGTAAATCACTTGAGCCCACGAGTTCGAGATCAGCCGGGGCAACATAGTGAGACCCAGTCTCTAACCAAAAAAGAGAAAGGAGATTATTCTGGGGATCCTATACCTCCCACTCCTGTTTAACTGTCAGGATTCCTGAAGTGAAGGGAGACTTCACTTCTCAAGCCACTTGACCTATTCCACTGAAACAGTTCTTGGTAAGATCACCAACAATCTCCAGTGAGCATTTTTGTTTTGAGACAGGGTCTCACTCTGTCACTCAGGCTGGAATGCAGTGGTGCGAACACAGCTCGTTTCAGCCTCCTGGGCCCAGGCGATCCTCCCATCTCAGCCTCCAGAGTAGCTGGGACTACAGGTGTGCCACCACAACTGGCTAATTTTTTAATTTTTTGTAGAGACATAGTTTTGCCATGTTGCCCAGGCTAGTCTCGAATTCCTGGGCTCAAGTGATCTGCCTGCCTCAACCTCCCAAAGTGCTGAAATTAGCACCCAGCTGTATGTATTATCTTGGTTTTGTTTTTGTTTGTTTACAATTTTTTCCCCTGGAGTTTCTGATTGGCTCTTGGATGTTCTCTGTTACTTGGAATCTATTCCACTCTCCTTGTACTCACCAACTTTCTAGTTTAATTCAGACCATTTCTTCTTTGGACAGTTATTTTCTGTACAGCTTTTGGGTTTTCCTGGAGTTTCTGAATGTTTGTTCTTGCTGGTATTTGTTGCCTTTATCATATTCTCAAGTTTTTCCAACTCCTCACCCATACTATAATTCAGTCTACAAAATCTCCTTTTTTTCATACAGACTGTTCTTCCATAACCTTCCACCATTCTGCTAAGATCCAAACAGGCCAGGCATGGTGGATGATACCAATAATCCCAGTACATTGGGATGCTGAGGCAGGCAGATCGTTTGAGCCCAGGAGTTCGAGACCAGCCTGGGAAACATAGTGAGATCTTGGTGTCTAATAAAAAAGAAAAAAAATTGAAAAAGATAAATAACAAATAAAACCCAAATATATTGCTTCCAGGTGTCAACAAAGTCATGATCCTGAGATTTTGCCATCACTGCTCTCCTGGGCTACAATTAGAGTTGCTGGCACCATGTTTTCCATTCCTTTGTTTACTGGAATTTCTCCTTAGGGAGCTTTCTAGACAGGAAGGTCTCTGTCACATCTTCTTCCTCGTTTCTTTTTTTTTTTTGAGACAGAGTCTCACTCTGTCGCCCAGGCTGGAGTGCAGCGGTGCCGTCTCGGCTCACTGCAGCCTCTGCCTGCCAGCTTCAAGTGATTCTCCTGCCTCAGCCTCCCGAGTAGCTGGGATTACAGGCACCCACCACCACACCTGGCTGATTTTTGTATTTTTAGTAGAGACAGGATTTCACCATGTTGGCCAGGCTGGTCTCGAACTCCTGGCCTCAGGTGATCCGCCTGCCTTGGCCTCACAAAGTGCTGGGATTACAGGCATCAGCCTCTGTGCCCAGCCCCAGCCTTCTTTGCTTATTTAACAACAAAACGTCGAAGCAATTCTTATCTTAGTTGCTGACCCTTGATCTAGCATGCAGTGATGTTAAGTCTAATGCCAATTTGATTTTTTCTTTTCATTGTAGATTACCTGTTTCTTCCTCTGTGGAAACAGCATATTATCCTTTCTGTTAAGAAATGTTATGACTTCTCAAGAGTGTGGGTCTTTTTGTTTCACTCCAGTATTATGCTGGGCAGTTGTTAGGCCCTTTTGATTTAATGGTTTGTGTCTTCCCTTTAGCTTGGGTAATTTTTTTCATACCATCCTCCCTGTACTTTCACTAGAAGTCTCTTTTACTCAGATATAAGAGCTGCCCATTCGGCCGGGCATGGTGGCTGACACCTGTAATCCCAGCACTTTGGGAGGCTGAGGCGGTCGGATCACTCGAGGCCAGGAGTTTGAGACCAGCCAGGCCAACATGGTGAAACCCCATCTCTACTAAACTACAAAAATTACTTGGGCATGGTGGCACATGCCTGTAGTCCCAGCTACTCGGGAGGCTGAGTCAGGAGAATCGTTTGAACGTGGGAGGTGGAGGTTGCAGTGAGCCGAGATCGCACCACTGCACTCCAGCCTGAGCGACAGAGAGAGGCTCCATCTCAAATAAATAAATAAATAAATAAATAAATCCCTGTATCTCTTAGTTTTTTCTGCTATTTTCTTTCCTTTGCTATTGTTCATCTTAGTCTCTTTCCTGTAGTAGGCTTTATTAAAATATCAGTGGATTCTTGGCTGTCTGTCATTAGAAGGAGGCAAACGGGTGCCCTGGAGCTCTCTGTGTGACCAGGATTTGTTAACCAGCAGTGTCAGCTTTAAGGTAGTGATCTTTATTCTTGAGATTTCCGAATTCCAGAGGGCTTTGTTGTAGGATGCCAATCTCTCCAGATCCCACAGATGTCTACAGAGAAGAATCTTCCTTTTTTTTCTTTTAATCCTGATATTTATTTATTTATTTATTTATTTTTGAGACTTGAGTCTCGCTCTAACATCCAGGCTGGAGTGCAGTGGTGCGATCTCAGCTCACTGCAACCTCTGCCTCCGGGTTCAAGCAATTCTCCTGCCTCAGCCTCCTGAGTAGCTGAGATTACAGGCACGCACCACCACACCCAGTTAATTTATCCATTTATAGTAGAGACAGGGTTTCACCATGTTGGCCAGGATGGTCTCAAACTCCTGACCTCAAGTGATCCACCTGCCTCAGCCTCCCAAAGTGTGGGGATTACAGGCATAAGCCACCACACCTGGCCTATTTTTATTTTTTTTTTTTTTGAGATGGAGTCTTGCACTTTCGCCCAGGCTGGAGTGTAGTGGCACGATCTCGGCTCACTGCAAGCTCCGCCTCCCAGGTTCACGCCATTCTCCTGCCTCAGCCTCCCGAGTAGCTGGGACTACAGGCGCCCGCCACCACACCCGGCTAATTTTTGTATTGTAACAGGGTTTCACCATGTTAGCCAAGATGGTCTCGATCTCTTGACCTTGTGATCCGCCCACCTCGGCCTCCCAAAGTGCTGGGATTACAGGCGTGAGCCACCGCGCCCGGCCTATTTTTATTTTTTGAGAGAGAGGGTCTGGCTGTGTCACCCAGGCTGGAGTGCAGTGACACGATCTCGGCTGGCTGCAACCTCTGCCTCCTGGGCTCAAGCCATCCTCCCAACTCAGCCTCCCGAGTAGCTGGGATTACAGGCACACAACACCACGCCCAACTGGTTATTAAATTTTTTTTGTAGAGATGGGGTCTTACCGTGTTGCCTAGGCTGGTCTCATTCTGGTCTCAAGTGATCCACCCACCTCAGCCTCCCAAAGTGCTGGGATTACAGGTGTGAGCCACTACGCCTGGCCCTGTGAGGTATTTTTCAGCAGCTTTCTAGACTGACAAGAGCAGCTGGAAGCATGGCAACCCCAGGCAGAGCATAGCGTGCTGCCGCCTCGACTGTGCTCAAGGGGCGCTAGCGTGCGGGAGGAGCCACCTGCCTGGGCCTCTGGAAGGCTTCTGCCTCTGAGCCAGCAGGTACAACAGGGAACAAGAGTGAGAAGGGGACTTGAAAACAGGAAACCTAATTGAAGGTCTGCACAAGTAGTGAACAAACCTGTTTCTCACTGCTGCAGTCGGCATGGCTTATAATTAAGCAGCATACTGTTACAAAAAACAAACAAAAGAAAGAGTCTTGGCTGGGCGCAGGTGGTTTATGCCTGTAATCCTAGCACTTTGGGAGGTTGAGGCGGGTGGATCACTTGAGGCCAAAGAGTTTGGGACCAGCCTGGGCAACACAGGGAGACCCCATCTCTACAAAAAAAAAAAAAAAAAAAAAAAACAAAACAAAACAAAACAAAAAAAACACTAAAATATTAGCCAGCCATGGTGGCATATGCCTGTGGTCCCAGCTACTCAGGAGGCTGAGGAAGGAGGACTGCTTGTGCACAGAAGGTCAAGGCTGCAGTGAGCTGTGATCATACCATTGCACTATAGCCTGGGCAACACAGTGAGACCCTATCTCAAAAAAATAAGTAAAATTTTAAAAAAAATTAAAAATTAGCCGGGCGTAGTGGCGTGTGCCTCTGGCTCCAGCTACTCAGGAGGCTGAGGCAGGAGGATCCCTTGAGCCCAGGAGGTTAAGGCTGCAGTGAGCCATGATTGTGTCACTGCACTCCAGCCTGGGCAACAGAGCCAGACTCTGTCTCAAAAAATATATAAAAATAAAAAATTATTTTAGAAAGAAAAATACTTGACAGGCTTATTCCTGCCCAATTCAATTTATAACTGTTTATTCATGTGTTGACATCTTAATGCAGTCTTTTTAAATAAAAGCAACTTCATTAAGAAAGTAAAGGAATAAAAGAATGGCTACTCCATAGGCAAAGCAGCCTTTAAGGCAGTCTTTTTTTTTTTTTTTTTTTGAGACGAAGTTTCCCTCTTGTCGCCCAGGCTGGAGTGCAATGGCGCGATCTCGGCTCACTGCAAACTTCGCCCCCCAGATTCAAGTGATTCTCCTGCCTCAGCCTCCCAAGTTGCTGGGATTACAGGCATGCGCCACCATGCCCAGCTAATTTTTTTTTTTTTTTTTTTGAGACGGAGTTTCGCTTTTGTTGTCCAGGCTGGAGTACAATGGCTTGATCTCAGCTCACTGCAACCTCCGCCTCCTGGGTTCAAGTGATTCTGTTGCCTTAGCCTCCTGAGTAGCTGGGATTACAGGCATGCGCCACCACACCTGGCTAATTTTGTATTTTTAGTAGAGACGGGGTTTCTCCATGTTGGTCAGGCTGGTCTTGAACTCCCGACCTCAGATGACCCGCCTGCCTCGGCCTCCCAAAGTGCTGGGATTACAGGCGCGAGCCACCGTACCCAGCCAGGGCAGTCTTAAAGGCAAAGAAGGTGAACATTTGTGCTTAATTTCCCATCTAGAGTGAGCAAATCTCTCTGCCTCTACCCTGGTTCAAAGCCCCTTCACCTCTTGCGTGGACTATGTTAACCTCCTCATTGGTTATCCTCTCTTCATACTGCATTCTTCTGTGCCATATTCTGTGCAGAGGCCAGAATGCACTTTGGGGAACACAAATCTGATTGTCAAATTCTGTCACATGTCTTAGAGAAGGCATCTAATCTGGATGCCTTAAGAGATGGTGGCCAGGCAGGGTGGCTCAAACCTATAATCCCAGCACTTTGGGAGGCCAAGGCGGGTGGATCACTTGAGGTCAGGAATTCGAGACAGTCTGGCCAACATGGCGAAACCTGTCTCTACCAAAAATACAAAAATTAGTTGGGCGTGATGGCGCATGCCTGTAATCCCAGCTACTCAGGAGGCTGAGGCAGGAGAATCACTTGAACCTGGGAGGCGGAGGTTGCAGTGAGCCCAGATTGTGCCACTGCACTCCAGCCTGTGCGACAGAATGAGACTCTGTCTCAAAACAAAAAAGAAAAAAGAAAAGATGGTGTCCTTCTGGAAGTTGTATTGCCGCAACTATGGTCTGATGGGAATGAGATCATGGTGTCAAACAGACCCATGCTAAGGCAGCCCCCAGGCAGAGACTCCTCTCCCCATGGCCTCAGTACTGGTCTAGAACTCTGAGTCATAGATCTAAAAATAAGTCACAGGGCTGTGAGCTAGCAGGACAGCTGCACACCTCTGGGTCTGTGGCAAGCCAGTGGTCCGCAGTGGGGATGCCCTATGTCCAGCACTGCTGCTGCTCCTTCGTCTAGAGGCCTTCCTTGACCGATAAAGCAAGCAATGCTGGGTAGCCCACACCCCCTATAACTTTGGCCTGGAGGTGTCCCTGGATCAGATGCCTGTCTGAGTCTGGCTTCCAGACTGTCAATGGCTTGCTCTGCAGCTTTCACCAACCCAGGTCACGACTTGTGCTTACAACACCTCTTTGGCCGGGCACGGTGGCTCATGCCTGTAATCCCAACACTTGGGAGGCCTAGGCGGGTGGGTCACTTGAGGTCAGGAGTTCAAGACCAGCCTGATCAACCTGGTGAAATCCTGTCTCTACGAAAAATACAAAAATTAGCCATGCGTGATCAGGTGGCACGCACCTGTAATCCCAGCTACTCGCGAGGCTGAGGCAGGAGAATCACTTGAATCCAGGAGGCGGAGGTTGCAGTGAGCCGAGATCGCACCACTGCACGCCAGGCTGGGGGACAGAGCAAGACTCCGTCTCAAAAAACAAACAAACAAAACACCTCATGTCTGGGCCAGCCTGCTTTCCTCCTCTTTTAGCTGGTACTTGGTTTAAATCTGGAAATCCTGGAGTCTTTGGAATTCCATTGACCTGAGCTGGGTTACTGTCCTGGTGTCTGTCTCTAGCACGGTTGGAAGGTAACTGTTCTTATGAATGGAAAGGAGGTGTTGGTGTCAGATGTGTTTATAGTTGCATTATCTCAACTTGAACTTCGTCTTGTTCTCACCTAACTTGAGGAAGCAAGGAAATTTGGAATTCAAATATTCTAATAATATTTGTTATTAAGTGAGGACATTCAAATCATACATTCAAATATTAGTAATGTCTGTTACAGCAAACTACCAGAAAAGGACAGCAAGCTACAGATGACCTGGCAATGATGAGCCCATAGGGACTGTTAGTGGGAAGGCTGACAGTTCCTGGCACGAGCCCCAGGGTGCCTTCTAGAGCAGGCTAACATCTTCTCACACTTGATCCCGCCCCTGCTCTCCCATGCACAAACGGGGTGTGCAAACAGTCTGTTTAGCTTTTCAAAAATAAAGAGGAGGCCAGGCGCGGTGGCTCATGTCTGTAATTCCAGCACTTTGGGAGGCGCAGGTGGGTGGATCACTTGAGCTCAGGAGTTCAAGACCAGCCTGGCCAATGTGGTGAAAGCCCATCTCTACTAAAAATACAAAAATTAGCTGGGTGTGGTGGTGTGTGCCTGTAATTAGCTGGGATTACAGGTGCGTGCCAGTACTCGGGAGGCTGAGGCAGGAAAATCACTTGAACCCAGGAGGCGGAGATTCCAGTGAGCCGAGATGGCGCCATTGCACTGCAGCCTGGGCAAGAAAGCGAGACTCTCTCAAAAAAAAGAAAGAGGAGCTGTCCAGGCGCAGTGGCTCATACCTGTAATCCCAGCACTTTGGGAGGCTGAGGTGGGTGGATCCCTTGAGATCAGGAGTTCGAGACTAGCCTGGCCAACATGATGAAAACCCATCTCTAAAAATACAAAAATTAGCTGGGCGTGGTGGCATGTGCCTGTAATCCCAGCTACTCAGGAGGCTGAGGCAGCAGAATCTCTTGAACGGGGGAGGCGGAGGTTGCAGTGAGCCAAGATCACACCAGTGCACTCCAGCCTGGGCGACAGAGCAAGACTCCGTCTCAAAAAATAAATAAATAAAATAAAATAAAAATAAAGAGGAGATTAAAATTCTCAGCAAACTAGAAACAGATGGTAACTTTTTTTTTTTTTTTTTTGAGACGGAGTCTTGTTCTGTCACCCAGGCTGGAGTGTAATGACGAAAACATGGCTCACTGCAGCCTCCAACTCCTACACTTAATCAGTCCTCCCACTTCAGCCTCCCAAGTAGCTGGGACCACAGCCGTGTGCCACCATGCCTGGCTAATTTTTGTATTTTTTGTAGAGATGGAGTTTTGCCATGTTGCCCAGGCTGTTCTCACACTCCTGGGCTCAATTGATCCTCCCACCTCAGCTTCCCAAAGTGCTGGGATTACAGGCGTGAGCCACCTTGCCTGCCCTACAATTAAGTAAAATATCAAAATACAGAAACATCATTTGTTTCTGTCTACAAGCAACAAGTAATTAGACAATGAAAAGTCAAAACATTGCCATTTGTAATAGTACCCCACCAAAACAATAAAATACCTAGCAATCTAATGAAAAATGTGCGAAAAATGTGCAAGACTTCTACACTGACAACTGCAAAACACTGTTGGGAAAAGAGCATATCTTCAAGACCTTGGAGTAAGCAGAGAGGACACAAAAAGTGATCATGTCTTTGAGGCTGAGGTAGGAGGATTGCTTGAGCCCAGGAGTTTGAGGCCAGCTGGGACAAAACAGTGAGACCCCGTAGCTACAAAAAAATTAAAAATTAGCTGGTCATGGTGATGCATGCCTATAGTCTTAACTACTTGGGAGGCTGAGACAGAATCGCTTGAGCCCAGGAGTTCAAGGCTATGTTTGTGCCACTGCACTCTAGCCTGAGCAACCCAGTGAGACCCTGTCTCTAAAAAAAATAAAATACTTTTAAAAAGTGGTAACTTCTGGCCCTGCATAGTGGCTCACACCTGTAATCACAGCACTTTGGGAGGCCAAGGTGGGCAGATCACCTGAGGTCAGGATTTTGAGACCAGCCTGGCCAACATGGTGAAACCCCATCTCTACTAAAAATCCAAAAAGTAGCCAGGCGTGGTGGCATGCTCCTGTAGTCCCAGGAGTACTTATCAATCAAATATACGAAAAAAAATTTGCTTTACACAAAATAAATGAATCTCACAGACATCAAGATGAGTGAAAGAATCCCAAGCGGTTGGGATTACCACAGGTGTGAGTCACTGTGCCCAGCCTCTCTCTCTCTCCTTTTTGTTTTTTTTGTTTGTTTGTTTGCTTTTTTGAGATGGAGTCTCATTCTGTCACCCAGGCTGGTGTGCAGTGGCACCATCTTGGCTCACTACAAGCTCCGCCTCCCGGGTTCACGCCATTCTCTCACCTCAGCCTCCCGAGTAGCTGGGACTACAGGCGCCCGCCACCATGCTCAGCTAATTTTTCGTATTTTTAGTAGAGATGGGGTTTCACTGTGTTAGCCAGGATGGTCTCGATCTCCTGATCTTGTGTTCCGCCCACCTTGGCCTCCCAAAGTGGTGGGATTACAGGCGTGAGCCACCGTGCCCCACCCTTTTTTTTTTTTTTTTGAGACGGAGTTTTGGTCTTGTTGCCCAGGATGGAGTGCAATGGTGAGATCTTGGCTCATTGCAACCTCCGTCTCCTGAGTTCAAGCAATTCTCCTGCCTCAGCCTCCCAAGTAGCTGGGATTACAGGCACCAGCCACCACGCCTGGCTAATTTTTGTATTTTTAGTAGAGATAGGGTTTCACCACATTGCCCAGGCTGGTCTCGAACTCCTGACCTCAGGTGATCTGCCTGCCTCGACCTCCGAAAGCCTCTCTCTATATTTTTAAAGCCACCTGGCTCCCTTTCAATAAACCCAATCTTGGTGATTTTTTTTTTTTCTAGAGACAGAGTCTCACTCTGTCACCCAGGTTGGAGTGCAGTGGTGCGGTCATGGCTCACTACAGCCTCCACTCCCTAAGCTCAAGCCATCCTCCTGCGTCAGCCTCCCGAGCTAGGATCACAGGTGCGTGTCACCATGTCTGGCTAATTTACTTTTTAATTTTGTAGAGACACGGTCTCACTATGTTGCCCAGGCTGTCCTTGGCGATTC
Source organism: Homo sapiens (assembly GCF_000001405.40). Lineage (NCBI taxonomy): Eukaryota > Metazoa > Chordata > Mammalia > Primates > Hominidae > Homo > Homo sapiens. The sequence continues at coordinate 95,331 of NW_003315963.1, forward strand.
TTATAAGTATTGGTTGGTAGGAAGCTCAAAGGTGGCTGCAAGTTTCACCAGCTCCCTGGGGTATCCTGATGGCTATCTCAGAACTGAATGGTGTCAGACAGACTCGTTAGTTGCAGCGTAGATGATCATGGTTCATTATTTTGCACTTTAACAGCAATGTTTCATGATAGTGAAATAATTGTAGGTTAAGAGCCAAATTTTAGTTTATAAACTTAGTGTTTCCCTACATATTTTTTGTAACTTGGCTTAAAAATGTTATATGGGGACCAGGCGTAGTGGCTGGGCTAGGCGCGGTGGCTCACGCCTGTAATCCCAGCACTTTGGGAGGCCAAGGTGGGCGGATCATGAGGTCAGGAGATCGAGACCATCCTGGCTAACACGGTGAAACCCCGTCTCTACTAAAAATACAAAAAAATTAGCCAGGCATGGTGGCGGGCAACTATAGTCCTAGCTACTCGTGAGGCTGAGGCAGGAGAATGGTGTGAACCCTGGAGGCGGAGCTTGCAGTGAGCCAAGATCATGCCACTGCACTCCAGCCTGGGCGACAGAGCGAGACTCCATCTCAAAAAAAAAAAGCTGGGTGCAGTGGTAGTCCCAGATACTCGGGAAGCTGAGTCAGGAGAATCACTTGAACCCGGGAGGCAGAGGTTGCAATGAGCCGATATCATGCCACTACACTCCAGCCTAGGCAACAGAGTGAGACTCCGTCTCAAAAAAAAAAAAAAAGTTATATGGGGTAGGGCATGGTGGCTCATACCTGTAATCTCAGCACTTTGGGAGTTTAAGGCAGGAGGGTCACTTGAGCCCAGGAGTTTGCGACCAACCTGGGCAACACAGCGAAACCTCATCTCTACAAAAAATTAAAAAATTAGCCAGACATGGCAATGTGCACCTGTAGTCCCAGCTACTTTGGAAGGTGAGGTGAGAAGATTACTTGAGCCCAGGAGGTTGAGGCTGCAGTGAGCCATAATCATTCCAGCCTGGGCGACAAAGGAAGACCCTGTCTCTCAAAATAATAATAAATGTTGGCCGGGCGCAGTGGCTCATGCCTGTAATCCCAGCACTTTGGGAGGCCGAGGCAGGCAGATCACGAGGTCAGGAGATCGAGACCGTCCTGGCTAACACAGTGAAACCCCGTTTCTACTAAAAATACCAAAATTAGCCGGGCGTGGTTGCAGGCGCCTGTAATCCCAGTTACTCAGGAGGCTGAGGCAGGAGAATGGCCTGAACCCGGGAGGTGGAGCTCGCAGTGAGCCGAGATCATGCCACTGCACTCCAGCCTGGGCGACAGAGCGAGACTCTGTCTCAAAAAAAAAAAAAAGAAAGAAAAATAATAAATGTGATATGGTTCTGCTCAGCTTTGCCCCTAAATGGAAGGCATGAGTGCTCGGCAGCTGTGTAGGTGAGGGTTAAGGTGGGACATGGCAGGCAGTGAGAGAAGATTAGGAGTTTGGACCCTGAGCTGATCTCTCCCTGTGGAGTGAATGGGGAAGAGAGACTCCTTTCACTGCACACCACTCACACACTGCTCCCTGACCCGGCCAGGAAGCATGTCCCTGCCTTCCACACGGAGGCAGCCAGCCATCTCATGAACAGGAGTCTGTTGTGCGTGGTCTTGCCATCCAGCACCTACACTGAACATGAGCTGAGTGGGTGTCCCAGGCCTCCCTGGGAGGGAATCCAGGCTGCAGCCAGTTCCTCAGGTTGCACAAGTGGCTGGTCACATTGCCACCAGAAACTCAGCCAGTGGCAGCTTTACAATCTCTGTCTGCTAGTGATTGAAGATTCAGTTGAGGCCGTGCACAGTGGCTCACGCCTGTAATGCCAGCACTTTGGGAAGCCAAGGCAGGTGGACCATTTGAGGTCAGGAGTTTCAGATCAGCCGGGTGAATATGATGAAACCTCATCTCTACTGAAAATACACAAAAATTAGCCAGACGTGGTGGCACGAGCCTGTAATCCCAGCTACACGGGAGGCTGAGGCAGGAGAATTGCTTGAACCTGGGAGGCAGAGGCAGAGCCGAGATCATGCCACTGCACTCCAGCCTGGGAGACAGAGCAAGACTCTGTCTTAAAAAAAAAAAAAAAAAAAGGAAGAAGAAGATGATGATTCAGGCTGGGTGCTGTGGCTCACGCCTGCAATCCCAACACTTTGGGAGGCCGAGGTGGGCATATCGCCTGAGGTGAGGAGTTCGAGAGCAGCCAGGCCAGCATGGTGAAACTCTGTCTCTACTAAAAATACAGAAAAAAATTTCCAGGCATGGTCGTGGGTGCCTGTAATTCCAGCTACTCGGGAGGCTGAGGCAGGAGAATCGCTTGACCCTGGGAGGTGAAGGTTGCAGTGAGCCAAGACTGCACCACTGCACTCTAGACTGGGTAACAGAGCAAGACTCCATCTCAAAAAAAAAAAAAAAGAAGAAGAAGAAGAAGAGGAAGAGGAAGAAGAGGAAGAGGAAGAGGAAGAAGAAGAAGAACAAGAAGATTCAGTTGAGATGTGCAGACTGGTAGGAGCTATCACATATAAAAAATATCTGCCAGGTGCGGTGGCTCATGCCTCTAATCTCAGCACTTTGGGAGGCCAAGATGGGCAGATCACTTGTGGTCAGGAATTCAAGACCAGCCTGCTGGCCAACATGGTGAAACCCTGTACTAAGTACAAAAATTAGCTGGGTGTGGTGGTGGGTGCCTGTAATCCCAGCTACTCGCAAGGCTGAGGCAGGAGAATCGCTTGAACCTGAAAGGCAGAGGTTGCAATAAGATGAGATCACTGCACTCCAGCCTTGGTGACACAGCAAGACTCCATCTCAAAAAATAAGAATAAAAATAAGTAAATAAATAAAATAAAAACATCTCTGATTGGAACCATGTAGCAACTTCAGAGCTGGCTTGGAGGACTCTGGCACTGTGTGGAAGGAATGAAGACTCAACACGTTAGGTCCTCCTTCCCACTGTGCCTGGAGGGAGCCGATAAGCTGCAGGCTGGTTGGCTGGCTGGCTGGCTGTGAGCTCCTTCCAGGCATCAGGATCGCTGCCAAGGACAGCCATTCTGACAGCCACAGTGCCCTTTTTGTTAGGGCTAATAAATTCCCTCTTGTTTTAGTGACAAGGAGTTGGGGTTATTACATTTTGATAACCAAAGGAAAGTCCACTCACATGGGAAAAGGGGACAGAGTTCTAGTTTCTTCAACCGGATGGAGCCAAGAAGATTTCTCACGCCCCTTAGCCCTGGCCCCTGATGGGTTTAAGAATCTGAGGGGATGCTCATAAGTTTCACTGTTCAGAACCCCTCCAAAACATGTTCAACCTAGGCCGGGTACAATGGCTCATGCCTATAATCCCAGAACTTGCAGAGGCCGAGGCAGGCAGGTCACTTGAGGTCAGGAGTTCAAGGCCAGCCTGGCCAACATGGTGAAACCCCCGTCTCTACTAAAAATACAAAAAGTAGCCAGGCATGGTGGCGTGCGCCTGTAGTCCCAGCTACTCAGGAGCCTGAGGCACAAGAATTGCTTGAACCTGGGAGTCGGAGGTTGCAGTGAGCCGAGATCACACCACTGCACTCCAGCCTGGGTGACAGAGTGAGACTCTGTCTCAAAAAAAAAAAAATGTGTTCAACCTTTTTTTTTTTCTGAGGCAGAGTCTCGCTCTGTCGCCCAGGCTGGAGTGCAGTGGCATGATCTCGGCTCACTGCAACCTCCACCTCCCAGGCTCAAGCGATTCTCCTGCCTCAGCCTCCCGAGTAGCTGGGATAACAGGCGTGCACAACCACGCCTGGCTAATTTTTTTTGTATTTTTAGTAGAGACAGAGTTTCACCATGTTGGCCAGGCTGATCTCAAACTCCTGACGTCAAGTGATTCGCCCGCCTCAGCCTCCCAAAGTGCTGGGATTATAGGCATGAGCCACCATGCCTGGCTCGACCTCAAATTCTTTACAAGGCCACAGAATTGACTCTACACACTATCCTCTAACAATTCCTGGGAGACACATCTCGTCGGACTAGAGCCTCAATGCGGGCCTTCTGAATGGAGGTGGGACCTGTGGCCAGGTCCACGTATGGGGATCTGGGAAGGACGGGACCTTTGCTCTGTCAGCTGTGGAATGGACAAGAGCTACCCTTGACTTTCAGTATAGCACTTGAGCCCAGGAGGTCCAGGCTGCAGTAAGCCATGATTGCAGGACTATACTCCAGCATGGGTGACACAGTGAGACCCCGTCTCTAAAAAAAATGACTCCAAGGCCACAGTCCTATGGCTCCACCAACACTAGAACTGTGCCTAGGGTCCCTCCCCAACACACCTGTCCTTCCTTTCCTGGTTATAAGAGCCCTTAGACTCCCTGGGAGTTTGTAGGACCTAGAAAATCTCCCTTCCGCTAGGCACGGCGGCTCACACCTGTAGCCCAGCACAAGGCGGGAGGATCGCTTGAGCCCAGGAGTTTGAGACCAGCCTGGGCAACATAGGGAGACCCTGTCTTTACAAAATAAACATAAAAAAATAGCCGGGCATGGTGGTGCATGCCGGTAGTCCCAGCTATGGGAGGCTGAGGTGGGAGGATCACTTGAGCCAGGGAGATTGAGGCTGCAGTGAGCTGAGATCAGGCCACTGCACTCCAGCCTGGGCAACAGAGCAATACCCTGTCTCACAAAAAAAGAAAGAAAGAAGGAAAAAGAAAAAGAAAACCTCCCCACCGTGCAGACCGCAGATCTTCACAGCTAGTAACTGGTGGGTGTAGTCTCTAGGTGGCCCCTAGTCCCTTGAGTAGCTCACCCTCCACAAACACACACACACACACACATCTAGACACTGTCGCTTCACCAAGCCTTCGAGAGCCCTCAGGAAGCCCTGCAGCAGCTCCTCCTACCTGTACCTTAGGTTTCTCTGTCTCCACACCACCCCAGCAGCCTGTTACTCAGGACCTTGCAGACGGTAAAATCAACAACGTGGTACCAGACCTCCTGTCCTGGCTGCAGTGGAAGGGGCCTGGACTCCTGGGGTCCAGTCTACCCATCAGAGATCTCCCAGGCTCCTGGCCAGCCCCAGACCACGAGGACAATGCAAGGTGACCATAGCTTACTGCAGCCTCAACCTCCTGGGCTCAACGCACCCCACCGTATAGGCGGTGTGAGATAAAAGCAGATTATTCTGCCTGACAAGGGCCTCTTGGCCACAGCACAGCTGTTTCCAGCCAGTGGGGGCTGGGGCAGAGAGGGCACAACAAGGTCCTCACAGAGTTACGCACAGGGGAGAGAAGGGGAGGGGAACTTCTTCAGGGAAGCAGTCTGGAGACTGAGGGGGAGGGGTCCCCTTCCACACTTAACCCATGCTGTCCTCAGCCCTATTCTTCCTGGGCTATGCCACCTAAGCCACTGGCCTGGCCTCACCCCAGACTCTCTATAACCAGCAGATGCAGCCAGTTGGCTCTGTGCCCAAAATGTCTAGCCAGCCCTCTTCAGACCTGGAATGCAGCTACCCTTCCTGGGGCTCACCGCCCATCTCACAGCTTTCACATCCTGCCCGAGGGAGACCAGGAAGGTAAAATAGAAAAGTTACTCTTGGCCAGGTAAGGTGGCTCACATCTGTAATCTTGGCACTTTGGGAGGCTGAGGTGGGAGGATCACCTGAGGCTAGGAGTTGAAGACCAACCTGGGCAACAAAGTGAGACTCCATCTCTACAAAAAGTTTCAAAAATTAGCTAGTCATGGTGGCACCCACTTGTAGTCCCAGTTACTGGGGAGGCTGAGGCAGGAGGATTGCTTGAGCCCAGCAGTTCAAGGCTGCTGTGAGCTATGATTGTGCCACTGCACTCCTACTGGACAACAGAGTGAGACCCTGTCGTAAAAAAAAAAAAAAAAAAAAGTGACTGTCTGCAAACAACCCCATTACCCCCTCCACCACCAAGAGCACTTGGCTGTGAAAACCCCTTTCCTGAAGGCTTTAAGATATTCCCACTGAAACTAACATGTAAAACCCAGCCTAGAAGCCCTGACTTTTATTTCCATAAAGAATGCACAAGCCAACAGTAATAACTTTGGCTACCTAAGAAAATCAGTTCTGGAATCCCCGAGGGGCCCTGTAAGTGGGATGTTCTGATTCTGCAGCTTTTCTGACAATAGGAATGTGAAGCCCTTAGAAAAGCCAGCCGGAGCAAATCTGCTTTTTTTCTCAGCAGGGAGAGCCAGCTCCTGCTGAGATCAGGGTACATTTTCTTTCTTTTTCCTTTTCTTTTTTTCTTTTTTTTTTTTTTTTTTGAGACAGAGTCTCACTCTTTCCCCCAGGCTGGAGTGCAATGGCGTGATCTTGACTCACTGCAACCTCCACCTCCCCGGTTCAAGCGATTCTCCTGCTTCAGCCTCCCAAGTAGCTGGGATGACAGGCACCTGCCACCACTCCCAGCTAATTTTTGTATTTTTAATAGAGATGGGGTTTCACCATGTTGGCCAGGCTGGTCTCCAACTCCTGACCTCAGGTGATCCGCCCGCCTCAGCTTCCCAAAGTGCTGGGATTACAGGCGTGAGCCACCAGGCCGGGCCTTCTTTTTTTTTTTTTTTTTTTTTTGAGATGGAATCTCCCTCTGTTGCCCAGGCTGGAGTGCAATGGCGTGATCTCGGCTCACTACAACCTCCACCTCCCAGCTTCAACCTCTTCTCCTGCCTTAGCCTCCCAAGTAGCTGCGATTACAGGCATGTACCACCATGCCTGGCAAATTTTTGTATTTTTAGTAGAGATGGGGTTTCACCATGTTGGTCAGGCTTGTCTTGAACTCCCGACCTCAGGTGATCCGCCTGCCTCAGCCTCCCAAAGTGCTGGGATTACAGGCGTCAGCCACCATGCCCGGCCTAGGGTGCATTTCTTTGGCATCTCTCACAAATGTGGGTCTCGTTCATCCCAGCTCTTGGGTCACAGAGGAGCTCCTGAAGCCTCCTTCCACTCATTTGTCATAGGCACCAACCTCAGAGACGCTCATGTTTTTCACGGGACCCGGCTCTAACTCTGCCTCTATCCAGATGCACAGGGGGCCAGATGCATTCCGGAGTGACCCCTGTTTCCTGGTCTTGACCTTCTTGGCCTCCTAAACAGCAAATTACAGGTATAGGTCTGGTGGTCTCTAAGGCACCATCTCATGCCTGTGTGGATGCTGAGGGTCCAGTTCACAGACCTTTCTGCAGAGCTGGAAGGCCGTAGCTACCATTCCTGAAGATGAGGGCCTGGCCTCCATCTTTAGACCTGTGGGCTCCATCCCTTTTTCTCTTTTCTCTTCCCTTCTCTTTTTTCTCTTCTTTTCCTTCTTTTCTTTTCTTTCTCTTTTCTTTTCTTTTTTTTTTTTGAGACAAGGTCTGACTCTATTGCCCAGGCTGTAGTGCGCAGTGGCGCAATCTCAGCTCACTGCAACCTCTCACTCCTGGGCTCAAGCGATCCTCCCACCTCAGCCTCCCAAGTAGCTGGGACTACAGGTACATGCCACCATGCCAGGCTAATTTTTGTTATTTATTATTATTATTATTTTTTGACACGGAGTCTTGCTCTGTTGCCCAGGCTGGAGTGCAATGGTGCGATCTTGGCTCACTGCAACCTCTGCCTCCTGGGTTCAAGCGATTCTCCTGCCTCAGCCTCCCAAGTAGCTGGGACTACAGGCATGAGCCACCATGCCCAGCTAATTTTTTTGTATTTTTAATAGAGACAGGGTTTCACCATGTTGGCCAGGCTGGTCTCAAACTCCTGACAATTGTGATCTGCCCACCTCAGCCTCCCAGAGTGCTGGGATTACAGGCATGAGCCACCGCACCTGGCCTAATTTTTGTGTTTTTTGTAGAGACAGGGTTTTACCATGTTGCCCAGGCTGGTCTTGAACTAGTGAGCTCAAACAATCCTCCCACCTCGGCCTCCCAAAGTGCTGGGATTATAGGCGTGAGCCACAGCATCTGGCCTCCATCTTTTTTTCTCAACACTTTGGTGCAAGGAACTTGAAATAAAGAGGTGGCATGACATGACGAGTGCCTCAAACCTGTGTAGTGGGTACATTTTTTTCCCTCCTTCTCCATATGTATGTGTATTTGATGAATTAAAATAAATAATTTGAACCTGCAGGGCATGGGTATAATATCTGCAGATGGACTCACAAAACAGAAGGTGATATGTCCACAATACAAAATGCTCTCAGGTAAGCTTGAGAGGTTCAAGGCCATCTGGTCCCCAAAGCACCACAAAGGCCACCAAAAGGGCCCCAAGGTTGACAATGTTCACACTGATCTCAGAACTGCATATATAGCTGAGTGGTTCTCCATGACTCCTGGCCCACGGAAGGGGCCAAAATGGTGTGAGCATAAGCGGTTTCTGGCACATTACTCTGGGGCCATGAGGTTCGGGGTAAAGTGAGCCGCAGCTTTTACATGTTAGTTTCAGTGGGAATGTCTGAAAGAAGAGCCTTCAGGAAAGGGGTTTTCATAGTCAAGTGCTCCTGGTGGTAGAGTGGGCAATGGGGTTGTTTGCAGAGAGTCACTTTTTTTTTTTTTTGAGACAGGATCTCACTCTGTTCCCCAGCAGGAGTGCAGTGGCACAATCATAGCTCACAGCAGCCTTGAACTGCCGGGCTCAAGTCATCCTCCTCCCTCAGCCTCCCCAGTAACTGGGACTACAAGTGGGCGCCACCATGCCCAGCTAATTTTTGAAATTTTTTGTAGAGCTGGAGTCTCACTTTGTTGCCCAGGTTGGTCTTCAACTCCTAGCCTCAAGTGATCCTCTCACCTCAGCCTCCCAAAGTGCTGGAATTACAAGTGTGAGTCACCGCACTCCCCTGGGAGCAAATTTTAGCTTTCCTGGTCTCCCTTGTGCAGGATGTGAAAGCTGTGAGATAGGCTGTAAGCCCCAGGAAGGGTAGCTGCATTCCAGAGTCTGCAGGATTTGGGAACAGGCGTGGACATGGCTGGCCAGACACACGTGGGCAGGTGTGTCAGAGTCTGCCCCATGGGGAAAGGGCCAATTTAACATCTCATTTGTGACTGGTTGCGGTGGCTCACGCCTGTAATCTCACCACTTTGAGAGACCGGGCTGGCAGACCACTTGAGCTCAGGAGTTCAAGACTAGCCTTGGCAACATGGCGAAATCCTGTCTCTACAAAAAATACAAAAACTAGCCTGGCGTGGTGGTGCATGCCCATAGTCCCAGCTACTTTGGAGGCCGAGGTGAGAGGATGGCTTGAGCTCAGGAGGTGGAGGTTGCAGTGAGCCAAGATCATGCTACTGTACTCCAGTCTGGGTGACAGAGCCAGACCCTGTCTCAAACCAACCAACCAACCCATCTGGTGTTTACCAAGTGCATCCAGGTATGGTCACTGATGGATTCTATGGCAAGGTCCAGTGGCCCCTGGGGCCTGTAGCAAGAGCTAGGAGGACCTCTGAATAACAGATGGGCTTATCTGAGACTGTAGGAGCTACAACTGGCACACTCAAAAGCCAGCCGCTGGCCAGCACTTTGGGAGGCTGAGGTGGGAGGATCACTCTTGAGCCCAGGAGTTCAAAACCAGCCTAGGCAACATGGTAAGGGGCCGTCTCCACCAAACAAACAAACGACAAAACTTGCCACCATCATTCCTAGCTCCTTTTCCAGCCTACAAAAGCAAGAGGACACTAGCACCCAGGCACACTTCCTCCAAGCCAGCTGTCCTCTTCCCTCTTACAACTCTCCTCCTGTGGCTCGGGTCCTACAGCCCAGCCCCTCATCTCAGGAACACTCTTGCCCTACTCTCCGTTACTCAACCTTCTGAAGAATCATTGCTCCACCTTCTTCCCTTTCACCTAAAAGCTACTGGACAAGTCCCTTAGTAGAAAGGAGATGTCTACAGGCCAGCACGATGGCTCACGCCTGTAATCCCTGCACTTTGGGAAGCTGAGCAGGGCAGATCACCTGAGGTCAGGAGTTCGAGACCAGCCTTGCCAACATGATGAAACCCCGTCTCTACTAAAAATACAAAAATTAGCTGGGCGTGGTGGCGGGTGCCTGTAATCCCAGACACCCAGGGGCTGAGGCAGGAGAATCGCTTGAACCTGGTAGGAGGAGGTTGCAATGGGCCGAGATTGCACCACTGCACTCCAGCCTGGGTGACAGAGTGAGATTCCATCTCAAAAATTGATAAACAAATAAAATAAAGAAAGATGTCTATAGTTGTCAACCTGCAGTGAATCCTCAGTACTACTGGGAAATTCTACCATGTTTCTTTTGTCCACTCACCTTTGTGCTTCCAGACCTTTCCCACTCCCCTCACTCTTTGCTGCAGTCTAAGGTAAACCTACCACCAAGCATTTTATTTATGGATTTATGTATTTTGAGACAGAGTCTCGCTCTGTCACCCAGGCTGGAGTGCAGTGGTGCAATCATGGCTCACTGCAACTTTGAACTCCCCGGGCTCAAGTGATCCTCTCACTCCAGCTTCCTAAGTAGCTGGGACTACAGGTGTATGCCAATGTGCCTAGTTAATTTTTGTATTTTTTGTAGAGACAGGGTTTCACTATGTTGCCCAGGCTGATCTCAAACTCCTAGGCTCAAGCAATGAGCCCACCTTGGCCTTCCAAAGTGTTGGGATTACCACTGTGAGCCACCAGGCCCGATCCCACCAAGCATTTTAGATCCCCTCCTTCAAGCCTTTTCAGAACCTTCACAAGAAGAACCAGATCATCTCTCTCCTATATCCTCAGCCACTTTCAACCAGATCTTCCTCTTTGACCTTAAAACATGTTTAAGTCTCTTCTACCTTAAAAAAGCAACCACCAAGGCCAGGTGCAGTGGCTCACACCTGTAATCCCAGCACTTTGGGAGGCCGAGGCGGTGGATCACTTGAGGCCACGAATTCAAGGCCAGCCTGGCCAGCATGGTGAAACCCCGTCTCTACTAAAAATACACAAATTAGCTGGGCATGGTGGTGCGTGCCTGTAATTCCAGCTACTCGGGAGGCTGAGACAGGAGAATTGCTTAAAACTGGGAGGGAGGCCGGGCACAGTGTCTCACACCTGCAATCTCAGCACTTTGGGAGGCCGAGGCGGGCGGATCACGAGGCCAGGAGATCGAGACCATCCTGGCTAACATGGTGAAACACCGTCTCTACTAAAAATACAAAAAAAAATTAGCCGGGCGTGGTGGCGGGCGCCTGTAGTTCCAGCTACTCAGGAGGCTGAGGCAGGAGAATGGTGTGAACCCGGGAGGCGGAGCTTGCAGTGAGCCGAGATTGCGCCTTTGGACTCCAGCCTGGGTGACAGAGTGAGATTCCGTCCAAAAAAAAAATTCAACCACCAAGAAAGGTATCCCCTCAATCTACACTGACATCTCCAGCACATACCTCTCTTCTAAGCTCCAGATCCTCATCCCCAAGTGCCTTATTGGTGCCTCTTCTTTGATGCCATGTTCACACTGGAACTCGGGCCATTCTTCCCATCCTCCACCCTCCCAAATATGGTCCTCTTCCGGGGCTTCCCAAAACAATGAGTGCCAGCACTACAATGGCTCATCCCAGAGACCCAGGAGACATTCATGATTCCTACCTCTTCCTCACCCTCCATATCCATTTCACCACTGATTTTACATCAATTTTATTCCAAAATCTTTCTCAAATTTGACTTTCTTTTTTTTTTCCATCCCCATTGCCACTACCATAGTCCATGAATGGTTTTCAAAGGGAGGTTCATGTACCCCATAGTATGGGAAGGCAATCCATTGGGATACTGGGAGAAAATATTAGAACTTCTACATTTCTTTCTTTTTTTTTTTTTTTTTTGAGATGGAGTCTCGCTCTGTCACCCAGGCTGGAGTGCAGTGGCGCAATCTCGGCTCACTGCAAGCTCTGCCTCCCGGGTTCACACAGTTCTCCTGCCTCAGCCTCCAGAGTAGCTGGGAATACAGGCGTCCACCACCACGCCCGGCTAATTTTTTGTTGTATTTTTAGTAGAGACGGGGTTTCACCATGTTAGCCAGGATGGTCTCGATCTCCTGACCTCATGATCCGCCCACCTCGGCCTCCCAAAGTGTTGGGATTACAGGCGTGAACCACTGCACCCGGCCTCTTTTTTTTTTTTTTTTGAGATAGATTCTCGCTTCATCGCCAAGGCTGGAATACAGTGGCGTAATCTCAGCTCACTGCAACCTCTGCCTCCCAGGTTCAAGTTGTTCTCCTGCTTCGGCCTTCCAAGTAGCTGGGATTATAGGCCTCCACCACCACGCCTGGCTAACTTTTTGTATTTTTAGTACAGATGGGATTTCACCATGTTAGCCAGGATGGTCTCGATCTCCTGACCTCATGATCCGCCCACCTCGGCCTCCCAAAGTGTTGGGATTACAGGCGTGAACCACTGCACCCGGCCTCTTTTTTTTTTTTTTTTGAGATAGATTCTCGCTTCATCGCCAAGGCTGGAATACAGTGGCGTAATCTCAGCTCACTGCAACCTCTGCCTCCCAGGTTCAAGTTGTTCTCCTGCTTCGACCTTCCAAGTAGCTGGGATTATAGGCCTCCACCACCACGCCTGGCTAACTTTTTGTATTTTTAGTACAGATGGGATTTCACCATGTTGGCCAGGCTGGTCTGGAGCTCCTGACCTCAGGTGATCCTCCTGCCTCAGCCTCCCATAGTGCTGGGATTACAGGCATGAGCCACCATGCCTGGCCCGTCTCTATGTTTTTGACTACTCTAGGTACCTTATGTAAGTGGAATCATAGGATATTTGTCTTTGTGACTGGTTTCTTTTGGCATAATATCTTCAAAGCTCATCTATTTGCATCGTAGCTGGGATTATAGGCATGCGCCACCACGCCTGGCTGATTTTGTATTTTTAGTAGAGACGGGGTTTCATCATGTTGGTCAGGCTGGTCTCGAACTCCTGACCTCAGGTGATCCACGCGCCTTGGCCTCCCAAAGTGCTGGGATTACAGGCGTAAGCCACGGCGCCCGGCCTCCTTCAACGCTGAGTAATATTCTATTGTTATGTTTATACCACATTTTGTGAACCCATTCACCCGTGGATGGACATTGGGTTGCTTCCACCTTCTGACTAATATGAACATGGGTGTACACATTTATATCCACTCTTGCCTCCCCTCCGTAGTCCTTCCTTCTCCACACTGCATCTAGAGTAACCCCTTTACACTCTCAAGTATGGACAAATCACCTCTTGCTTAAAACTCATTAGTTTTGCAACACTGTCAAGTAAGACCTAACTTCTCACCACTCTGATTTATTATTGGAACACAAAACTGGGCCATGCTCCGTGGCTCAAGCACTTTGGGAGGCCGAGGTGGGCGGAACACCTGAGGTCAGGAGTTTGAGACCAGCGTGGCCAACATGGGGAAATCCCGTCTCTACTAATAACACAAAAATTAGCCGGGCGTGGTGGCGCACGCTTGTAATCGCAGCTATCCGGGAGGCTGAGGCAGGAGAATCACTTGAACCCGGGAGGTGGAGGTTGCAGCGAGCCAAGATCACGTCACTGCACTCCAGCCTGGGCGATAGAGCAAGACTCCGTCTCAAACAAACAAAACCCACAGAACTGGAAGACCCTTGCTGCTGCTTCTGCGTAATGTGTTCTCCTCCCTTCTCGTTTTTTTTTTTTTTTTTCTCCCTTCTACCCCTTAGGACCTCAGCTCCTGCTCTTTCCCTGGGGGAATTCCGGATCACTCTCCTTTACTAGGTCAGGGTACTCTCTCCCTCCCTCTTACTCTTTCCCCTCCTACCACTTGTCACCATTGGTACTATATTATCACCCGGATATGTGACAATGGTATTGTGTATTTACCACTAAGGAATAAACTTATGAGGGAGAGAGCACTACCCGTTCCTGCAGTGCCCGTCGGGGCCTGGCATCTAGGAAACACTCCATACGCCAGTAATCGATTTCAGTCAATTTCAGTAATAAATCCAGGAGGACGCAGCCCGACCCCTCCCGCCCGGGGGCCAAGCCATGGTGGGGGATCTGGGTGGACCTCCGGCTCTGGCCGCCAGTCCTCAACCTCCGCCCCGGCCGTCCCGCTTGGGGGCCCAGGGTCCCAGGAGAGGAGGCTCCGGGGCGCCCCCTCCCCTCTAATGCGAGAGGAGAGTCCGCTCTAGGCGCGGGATCCGCAACCTCCCCGCGTCCGCCCGAGGCGGGGGCGGGGCCGGACCGGAGACGTAACTTCCGGTGTACACAGCCGGTCCAAGGCGGTGCGCTGGGGGCCGGGGCGCGTCGCAGGTGAGGAGCGGGCGCGGCGGGCGCAGGCGGGGGCTGGCGGGCGGGGTCGGGCGGTGGGCGGTGGGCAGCGGGGCCGCGGGCCGCAGCCAGGGCAGACGGCGAGACGGGCCCGCGGGGCGCCGCTCCGCTCGGGGCCGCAGGGCGCGGGGCCGTGGGCTCCCGCCCCTTGCCCGCCCGCTGTGGAGGACGCCGGGCTTTGCGGGCGCTGGCCGGCCGACGGAAGCCCGGAGGGGCCTCCTGGCGCGAACCCGGGACCTGGGGGCGCGTCGGAGACTCGGCGGCCGCGGCACCGCAGGGGCGGGTCGGCGCCCGTCAGGCGGGGAAAGGGGACGCTCCCTCGGTTCGCCGGGGCCCGGGAGGTCGCGCTGGCGCCAGGACCCGCTCCCGGAAGCCCGCGGAGGGAGGGCGGCCTGCTGGCGGCAGGGGTCCGCTGGGGCTAGCCGGGGAGGCGGCCCTCACGCCATCCCGGGGCTGCCGGGCGGGCTGCGCGCACCTTCCCGGCGGCGCCAGGCTGCCGAGGAACGCGCTTTTCCGGCCCTGCGGAGCCAGCTGGCGCATTGGGCCCGAGGGGAGGGTCCGCGGGGACCGGGAGGGCCGGGGCTGAGCGTGGAGGACCCGAGCCCGAGGGACGAGCGCAGAGTCAGGGGTGTGTCTTTCTGCGCCGCGCGGTGCGAGGAAAGAAGCGTGCCTGGTTGGCATGATAAGAATTTTGTTTAGACTTTTTAGAAATTTTCCAGAGACTCAGCTTTGGGGGCCTCCAGTTTGAAAATACCTTGTTCTGGTCCCTCATCCCCATTATAAAAGCAGTTAATTCTCCTTTCCTGGCAAAACACTCAAGACGACACAAAAAGTCTTAAGGTAGAAAATGACAGTCATCTGCCAGTCTACCATTCAGTGACAACCACTGCTAACATTTTGGTGATAATCAATAAATACAGATAGGTATTGTTATTTTTATGGACTTTACAGTATGTGATTTAACCACCGATGAGCATTGAGATAGTTTCCAATTTGTCACAAGATAAACAATTCTGCCGGAAGGATTTGTTTGATATGGTCTTTTTTTTTTTTTTTTAATAAGAGACTGTTGCCCAGGCTGGTCTCAAAACTTCTGGCCTCAAGCGACCCTCACGCCTTCGCCTTCCAAAGTGTTGGGATTACAAGTGTGAGATATTACACCTGGTCTGATTGTTATCTTAGAATAAATTTACAAATGGGGTCAAAGGTAACTTTATTTGTTTTTTTTTGAGACAGTCTCCCTCTGTCACCCAGGCTGGAGTGCAGTGGCGGGATCTAGATTAACTGCAACCTTAGCCTCCCGGGTTCGAGCGATTCTCCTGCTTTAGTCTCCCGAGTAGCTGAGATTACAGGCACCCACCACGCCCGGCTAATTTTTGTATTTTTAGTAGAGACAGGGTTTCGCCCAGTTGACCAGGTTGGTCTCGAACTCCTGACCTCAGGTGATCCGCCTGGCTCGGCGTTCCAAAGTGCTGGGATTATAGGCGTGAGCCACCGTGTCCGGCCGTAACGTTCAATTTTTAAGAATACATAGTATTTGTTTTCCTTTGACATATTTGGACAATTTTTCTGTCTCTTTGTCATAAAAAAAAATTCCAGCCTGGCGCGATGGCTCATGCCTGTAATCCCAGCACTTTGGGAGGCCGAGGCGGGCGGATCACTTGAGGTCAGGAGTTCTAGACCAGCCTGGCCAACGTGGTGAAACCCGGATTCAACTAAAAAAATACAAAAAAACACATTAGCCAAGCATGGTGGCGCGCTCCTGTAGTCCCAGCTACTTGGGAGGCTGAGGCAGGAGAATCGCTTGAGCCCAGGAGGCGAAGGTTGCAGTGAGCCGAGGTCGTGCCACTGCGCTCCAGCCTGGGCAACAGAGTGAGACTCCATCTCAAAAAAAAAAAAAAAGAAATTCATGTTTGCGTCTCATCGTTTCATGGTTTTATTTTTTTGCCTTTAGTCTACCTAAAATTCATTCTTGGTTTAAAATATGAAATATTTTGTAAATGGCTAGTCAGTTCCAGATTTATTGAATAATATGTAAGCTTTATCATTTTATCATATTTTAGACTAAAAGTTCTAAGTGTATGTTTGTAAGGGCTACTTACAAAGTTCATATTTACATTTTGTGTGTGCTTAGATGTTTTCAAGTGTCTTTAAAAATCACAGTATTTTCTTTTCACAGTATCTTCACAATATTTTGTTTTAAAAAGAAATCATTTTCCAATACAAGTACAGGGAATATTTCATGTTTGAGATTTTTTTTTTCTTTTTAAAGCAAAAAGTTTAGTTTATTGCCGTTTCATTTGCTTTCTTGCTGACAAGATAACAAACTCCATATGAAGAGTTCAGGTTTGTTGTGGCAACTTTTCAGTGTGGCATTTGAGATTCTAATCTTCCTCTATTTTTGCACACAAATACGTAGGTTGGCATTGGAGACCAAGATAGAAAAGTTCTCAGATTCCCTTGGCAAGCCTAGATTTTTCAATCTAAAATTATCTCCAGATGTTTGGAAGACCATGTTTTAAGCATCCTTTTTTTTTTTTTTAAGCAAATTGCACATGATTCTGTGAAAATTTTAGTAAATGTTTGTTCTGTTGAAAACCTATAGCCTAATACATCAGGATCCATGTGTCAAGTGGGTCTTCCAAGTCTATAGGAAATAATTGTTTCTGAAAGCTAGCAGGCTGGGATATCACATGGGTTGGGTGTCCACTCTCTTTTTTTTTGAGTCGGAGTCTCCCTCTGTCCCCGAGGCTGGAGTGCAGTGGCGCAATCTTGGCTTACTGCAACCTCCACCTCCCAGGTTCAAGCAATTCTTCTGCCTCAGCCTCCCTAGGAGCTGGGATCACAGTTGTGAGCCACCACCCCTGGCTAATCACTCTTTTTTCCTCCTGTAACTTTGTCCTTAGTGAAAAATGATGATCTTCCTAGGTAGGCAAAAAAATGTTGGTTTAGATAAGGAATTGATTTGTTTTGGAGTTATTGAAAAGCAGGTTGCCGTTTTCTCTGAAGTGTAAGTTCACAGAGAGCCTGAATGTTGTGTTTGGATTAAGGAAAAACAGCAACAGGTTGTGCTTGTGCTTCAAATGTCTTTAACTCTACTGAAACTGCCCTCTTGAGGGTCCCCTAACTGATGCATGCAGTGGCCATTGCTTAATTATTTTCCTTGACTTTGATCTCAGGTATTTGGCATGGTGAGCTATTCTTTCTTGCTCTCGTGAATCTCCCATTGATTGGCCTTCTTTTTTCTTTTTCTTTTTTTTCTTTTTTTTTTTTTTGAGACAGAGTCTTGCTCTGTTGCCCAGACTGGAGTGCAGTGGCTCGGTCTCAGCTCACTGCAACCTCTGGCTCCAGGGTTCAAACGAGTCTCCTGCCTCAGCCTCCCGAGTAGCTGGGATTACAGGTCTGCGCCACCACCCCCAGCAAATTTTTGTATTTTTAATAGAGATGGGGTTTCACCATGTTGGCCAGGCTGGTCTTGAACTCCTGACCTCAAAAGTGCTGGGATTACAGGCGTGAGACACCACGCTTGGCCTTGATTGGCCTTCTTGACTTGGAACTAGTGTGGTCATTTCCTGAAATCTGTGACT
This sequence comes from Homo sapiens, assembly GCF_000001405.40. NCBI lineage: Eukaryota > Metazoa > Chordata > Mammalia > Primates > Hominidae > Homo > Homo sapiens. The sequence goes on from NW_003315963.1 coordinate 113,134, forward strand.
GCACTTTCTCATTTGTCTTTACTGCTTCTCTTCATACATCTACCTTGGGGCATTTTCTGAAGCCTAGTTTTGTACCTCTTACCCCCGCTCCAAAACATATTCCTTCCCACTTATCCAGTATATGAGTCCTGGGTAGAGAACCACCTCATTTCCTTACCTCTGCCACCACTTAGTGACCCCCGACTCAGAGTTTTCTGCAGGTCAATTCTTTTTCTCCTGTTCAGTAACCCCTGGACATGTTCCTGAGGCCATGCTTTCTCCAGGTGAAGAAAATATCACTTCTGGCCGGGCGCAGTGGCTCACGCCTGTAATCCCAGCACTTTGGGAGGCCGAGGTGAGCGGATCACGAGGTCAGGAGACCGAGACCATCTTGGCTAACATGGTGAAACCCCATCTCTACTAAAAAAAAAATATTAAAAAATTAGCCGGACATGGCGATGGGCGCCTGTAGTCCCAGCTACTCAGGAGGCTGAGGTAGGAGAATGGTGTGAACCTGGGAGGCGGAGCTTGCAGTGAGCTGAGATCGTGCCACTGCACTCCAGCCTGGGCGACAGAGTAAGACTCCGTCTCAAAAAAAAAAAGAAAAGAAAATATCACTTCTTTGCGAGGACAAGGTGAGAGGATTACATGCTCTCAGGAGTTGGAGACCAGCCTGGGCAACATAGTGAGACCTCTGTCTCTTAAAAAAATGAATTTTAGGTCTGGCACAGGGGCTCATGCCTGTGATCCCAGAAGTTTGGGAGGCCAAGGTGGGAGGATTGCTTGAGATCAGCCTAGGCAACATAGTGAGACTCCAAAATTATCTAGGTGTGGTGGTCCATGCCTATAATTCCAGCTACTTGGGAGGCTGAGGCCGGAGGATTGCTTGAGCCTAGGAGGTTAAGGATTCAGTGAACTGTGATTGTGCCACTGCACTCCAGCCCAAGCAACAGAGCGAGACCCTGTCTCAAAATAAATAAGTAAATAAATAAATAAATAAATATCACTTATCAAGGTGTCCTGTCCTTCCTGACTCTTAAGGTTCTTACCAGCCGGTGAATCACATCTTCCTTCTTGATATGGATTGTATTTGCCATTTGCTTTCTATCCCTACACCTCGATTTAGACTTTGTACCTTTTCTTAAGGGATTTCAGGCTTAACGTGGTCCTACTCTGGATGTGAAAGAGGAGACCCAGTGAATTTACTCAAGAATTGAGTTAGCTCACATTTATGGAGTACCTACAGTACAGCCCAGTTACTTTACTGGAAGATCAGAATACAGAGCTGGACAGCACATCCTGGGAAGAATGCCAAATAAGCAATTGTCATAAAGTATTATAAGTGCCTAGAAGGGGAGTCACCAAGTAACCTCTCCCAGGTTTCAGAGATCTTGCGTGTCTTATTTACTGCTTTGATCTCCAGGGCCTAGAACACAGTGCGTGGAAATGATGAAGTTTTTTTTGTTTGTTTGTTTGTTTGTTTTGTATTTCATTCAGTTTAATGAGGGGACATGAGGAGCCAGGGGCAGAATGATATGGTTAGGCTGTGTCCTCACCCAAATCTCATCTTGAATTGTAGTTCCCATAATCCCCACATGTGGTGGGAAGGACCTAATGGGAGGTAATTTAATCATATGAGCAGTTTCCCCCATGCTATGCTTGTGATAGTGAGCAACTTCTCACAAGATCTGATGGCTTTATAAGGGGCTTCCCCCTTCACTTGGGTCTCATTCTTCTTGCTGCTGCCATGTGAAGAAGGACGTGTTTGCTTCCCCTTCTGCCATGAATATGTTTTCTGAGGCCTCCCAGCCCTGGGGAACTGTGAATCAATTAAGCCTCTTTCCTTTATAAATTACCTAGTCTTGGGCATTTCCCCATAGCAGGGTGAGAACAGACTAATAAACCTTATTTTAAGAAATTGCCACAGCCACCCCAACCTTTAGCACCCACACTCTGATCAATTAGCAGCCATCAACATCACGGCAAGACCCTCTGCCAACAAAAAGTTTACCACTTGCTGAAGATGCAGATGATCATTAGCATTTTTTAGTAATGAAGTATTTTTAAATTAAGGTATGTGCATTGTTTTTGTGACAATGCGATTGCATACTTAACAGACTACAATATAGTGTAAATATAACTTTTATATGTACAGGAAAATAAAAAACATCATGTGACTTGCTTCATTGCGATATTCACTTTCTTGAAATGATCTGGAATGACACCTGCAATATCTCCAAGATAAGCCTATAATATCTTTTCCTGATAATTTTGGCTATATACTTCTTGATCACCTTTTCTATGACAAGGATTTGGTAATATCATTTTTTTATTTTTATTTTATTATTATACTTTAAGTTTTAGGGTACATGTGCACAATGTGCAGGTTAGTTACATATGTATACATGTGCCATGCTGGTGTGCTGCACCCACTAACTCGTCGTTTAGCATTAATGAAGTATTTGTTGAAGGAATGAATGATCATCTGAGAATGAAATCAGAAAAAATGTCATACACATTAGCTATCTATAGAAAAGATATAAGTCAAAAGATATTTCGTAAATGTAGTTTGAAGAATCTCAGGGAAAACTTTAAATTCAACCAAACTGACCCAGCTATAACCCCAGGAAGGCATGCATGGAATGTGTTTGTAGCTGGAAAGCTTAAACTTAATTTTGTATCCTCAGAAGAAATACTTGTGTTTCTGGGAGAGGATTGGGACAGTGTCTGGAAATTGGGGTGGCGGGTCCAAGAGAGGAATTACGTGGTGTGTGTGTAGCACTCTCTGGGGGCCTGACCAGAGGAGCAGTGCAGCGTTCCCTCCACAAAGCCATCTGCACTAACACACAGATGGGCGTGTCCCTGTTGTTGCCTCTGGCTGCAAGGGTCTCTCCCTTGCTTAGCGTCTGTCCTCCCAGTACCATCTGAGTAGAAGATAGCTGCACGTGGAGATTTCTTGGTAAGGAGAGAATGTGAGTGGTTGAGGGCTCTGCATCTAAGCTGCTTGGATCAGATCCTGGTCTTGGGATGCTGGCTAATCTTTCAGTTTTCTGATTTGTAGAATGGGGATAATAGTAGCACCTTTCTCTTAGTGTTGCAGTGAGGGCTCTGAGCGTGCTACCCGGCACCTGTGATAAGTATTCAATGACAGTATTAGCTCTCGTTGGTATTCATAAAGTAGTAACTGGCCTCTGGTTCATACATCAGTTTTCTTTGAGCTTAGATAGCCTAAATAATTAATCCCCATGGAACTGCTTGCTTCTGGGTGCATTGAATAAGCTGATAAACAGACACTGGGAAGTAATGACAGATAAGCTCTTCCTACACTGCTCATCCAGGGAATCCAGCCTGCAGTTCTCAGGGGAGACTTCTGGAGAAGGCTGTTCTTGAGCTGAGTACTGTGGGAAAAAGTAAGTCCAGTGCCACAGCAAGAGGGGAGGACTCTTGGGCAGGGGCATGACACGTCCAAAGGTGTGGAGGTGAGAGCAAGCATGAGGTATTTGAGCTGCAGGAGATTGAGGGTAGAGTCTGGACAGGTATGAATAAGGAGTAGAGGGAAATGACATTGGAAAGTGGGAGCAGTCCTTGAAATAACTAATAACAATGTCTAACTGGGCACTAACAGCACTTCAGGTCCTGTGCTGAGTCCTTCGACTCACTGCGCTAACCAGGTTTGATGCTGAGAGCTTTGTCTACATTGCATTGTTTAATCCTCACAACAACCCTTTGATGTAGGTACTTACCTCTGGTATGTGTGGCATCATGTCACATGTCACCTGGTAGGTCTCCCTGCCTTTTTTTTTGAAATGGAATCTTGCTCTGTCACCCTGGCTGGAAGGCAGTGGCAGGATCTCGACTTACTGCAACCTCTGCCTCCCTGGGTTCAAGCGATTCTTCTGCCTCAGCCTCCCGAGTAGCTAGGACTACAGGTGAGTGCCACCATGCCTGGCTAATTTTTGTATTTGTAATAGAGGCGGGGTTTCACCATATTGGCCAGGCTGGTCTTGAACTCCTTACCTTGTGATCCGCCCACCTTGGTCTCCCAAAGTGCTGGGATTACAGGAGTGAGCCACCATGCCCAGCTGCTGCTTTTTTTTTTTTTTTTTTTTTTTTTTTTGAGGCGGAGTCTCTCTCTCACCCAGGCTGGAATGCAGTAGTGCGATCTCAGCTCATTGCAACCTCCACCTCCTGGGTCGAAGCAATTCTCCTGCCTTGGCCTCCCAAGTAGCTGGGATTACAGGCATGCGTCACCACGCCCAGCTAATTTTTGTATTTTTAGTAGAGATGGGGTTTCACCATATTGGCTAGGCTGGTCTGGAACTCCTGACCTCAGGTGATCCGCCTGCCTTGGCCTCCCAAGGTGCTGGGATTGTAGGCGTGAGTCACCTCGCCTGGCCTCTGCTTCTTGATTCAGCCTGCACATGGCTGCCAAGATAACTCCCAGTGTCTTATATATGTTTAAAAGCTTTTTGTGATCCTGTTTCCTGATGAAGTCCAAGCACACTAAGATCCTCTGACTTCATGAAAAACCACGAAGTTAAAATGTAAAAATATTTATATCTTAGAATTTAATAAAAACAGGACAGGTGCAGATGTGGATCAAGCTCAGAGAAATCAGTGAAAGAAGCAAGGTACAGAACAATGTATGTTTGCCCATTTGTGTTTTTCTAATTTTAAAAAATTTCTCCACTTTTGAAGTAATATGAGCTCATTTGTTTAAAAAAATATATATAGGCCAGGCATGGTGGCTCACGCCTGTAATCCCAGCACTTTGAGAGGCTGAGGCGGGCGGATCACCTGAGGTCCAGAGTTTGAGACCAGCCTGACAACATGGTGAAACCCCACCTCTACTAAAAATACAAAAATTAACTGGGCATGGTGGCGGGTGCCTGTAATCCCAGCTGTCCAGGAGGCTGCAGCAGGAGAATTGCTTGAACCTGGGAGGTGGAGGTTGCAGTGAGCCAAGATCGTGCCACTGCACTCCAGCCTGGGTGACAGAGCAAGATTCCATCTCAAAAAATAAATAAATAAAAATAAAATAAATAATGTCTCCCTCTCTCGATAGAGAGATAGATAGATAGATAGATAGATAGATAGATAGATATACATGAAATAGGTTTATAAGTGCAGAAATAATTTATGGAATGATAGAAAAGAAACAGTGGTTGTTTTTGGGATGAGACCCCAGAAAACCAGGCTGTTAGGCTGAGTTAGCTTTTTCTTTGCATACCATTTTGTATGGTGTGAATTTTTTTCCCTGTGTATATGTATTTTCTTTTTTTTCTTTTTTTTTTTTTGAGACAGAGTCTTGCTCTGTTGCCTAGGCTGGAGTGAAGTGGTGCAATCTTGGCTCACTGCAACCTCCGCCTCCTGGGTTCAAGCGATTCTCCTGCCTCAGCCTCCTGAGTAGCTGGGATTACAGGTGCCCGCCACTACGTCTGGCTAATTTTTGTATTTTTAATAGAGACAGGGTTTCACCATGTTGGCCATGTTGGCCAGGTTGGTCTCGAACTCCTGACCTCAAGTGATCCATCCACCTCGGCCTCCCAAAGTGCTGGGATTACAGGCGCGAGTCACCGCACCCGGTCTATGTTTTCATTTTAACAATAACTTTTAAAATAAATGTCTATGATGGACATGGCTGTTGTGTAGAGTGAATGTAGCATGGAGGTTAAGAGTGAGGACTGTGCAAGGCGGCTTGGGTTCAAGGCCTGCCCCTGCCTTGACCTCAGTTTACCTCCTCTGAAAATGGGGAGGTAGTAATACCTGCCTCCTGGGGTTGTAGTGAGGCATTACTGAGTTAATATTTGTAAAGTCCTTGGAACAGTTCCCAGGAGGTATGTGTTTGTCGTCGTCTCTGTTGCTCTGTCCCTGTGCTATGCATGACCGTAAGTGTAAAGATGTGTCCAGCCTCTGTCTCTGATGCTCCCAGTTCATTTGGAAAGGGAGAGCATGCAGCTAATGACAGAGACAGCAGAGGCTGCAGGAGTCAGAAAGGCTCCTTGGGAACTGAGGTGGCCCAAGATGGTTTCATCAAAATGATGGTTGTTAAATATGGGTAATTTCTAGAGGGAAAATAACACAAAGGGACTTTTTCCATGTTGTGTGTCCCAGCCAGCCTGAGGCAGGCAGAGGAGTCAGAAACAGGACAAGAGCTTTGAGGAGGCCTGAAATTTGGACGTGTCATGTGATGACATGTCTTTTTTTTTTTGGAGGGGGGGACGGAGTCTTGCTCTGTTGCCCAGGCTAGAATGCAGTGGCATGATCTCAGCTCACTGCAAGCTCTGCCTCCCCGGTTCACGCCATTCTCCTGCCTCAGCCTCCTGAGTAGCTGGGACTACAGGTGCCCGCCACCATGCCTGGCTAATTTTTTGTATTTTTAGTAGAGACGGGGTTTCACTGTGTTAGCCAGGATGGTCTTGATCTCCTGACCTTGTGATCCGCCCACCTCGGCCTCCCAAAGTGCTGGGATTATAGGTGTGAGCCACCACGCCCGGCTGGCATGTCATTGTTATATGGCAGAGTTTTTCTTGGCATATATGAGACAATGATATGATTTGTAAATGGTGACATCTTTGACTCAGTGAAGTGTGGTTGCTCTGCCTTGATGTTTGGAATGGCTATGAGGTGTTCTGTGTGACGTATTTAACAATCCTCGTAATGCAGGGCACGTGGGAATAACCAGTGTTGCCAGTGAGTGTTCTTGACGCAGGCCTCTACATTAACCGTGAGTCTGTTCTAGGATTCGTGCCTAGATAGAATATTGCTTTTCTTTCTTTTTTTTAAGTCATTTTGATTATGTTCCTTGTGTCTGGGCCACTGTCAGTTAAGTGTGTTTTCAAATTGGCAGTGGCAAAGAATCATAATGGGAAGATTTTTGAAAGTGGAATTAGAGCAAGATATTACCTGAAAAAAAATCTGATTTTCTTACTAAAAATGATTTTGGGATTAAGTACTAGTGAGATGCTAATTATGGCCAGGAAACCTGGAAATAACTCGCATCTTCCCTCACCCCACCCCCGGTCCCCGAGGTGGATATATGTTCATGGGAACAGAGTTTGGGGAAAGCTGGCTTGGCTCCCAGACTTGGGTGCCGCAGGCTCTGGTGACCTAGGCAGGAAGAGGCGGAAGTGGTTCCTCTCACCAGCCACAAGGACCTGTGCTGCTCCTGGGTGTCAAGGTGGGAGAGAATGCGCTACATCCTTGTGCTTGAGTCACTTTGTAATGTACTTTGTAATTCCAGGTGATGCCCCTCCTCAACTGTGTCCCTTCTGTTCCTGCCTTTGGCTTGGGGTTGAAAGAGGAGGGAGTGGTGGGCACGGAAATGGGAGGAGCCATGACCTCTTTCCCCTCCAGCGCATAGGGCATTACTTCTTTTAGTTTGTTGCCTGGACTTGGGAGTTGGGCCCAGAGCTGCAGGAAGGTAAGTTTTATTTCTGAAAGTTGTTTTAACTTACAGATTTTGGGGGTTCGAGGGAGTTTGTTTTCGACTAGTAGAAGACAAGAATTAAGAATTGCAGTGGAAGATGAAATGCTATCTTCTTACTAATCCACGCCCTCTTTCAGAGCAGTAGCTTTCATTTACGGAGACTGAGGGTATGGCAGAGGCTGTGCTTTATGGATTTAATCCTCAGCAGTACTGAGGCACAAGAGTTAGGCGACTTGCTCAAAGTTAGTAAGTGCCATTTATTCAGCTGATATTTACTAAGAGCAGGAATTCACATCTAGATCAGTCTGATTCCCATACCCGTACCAGTAACTACTGCATTTTGGAAGTGCGTCGTTTCCATGAAGTTTCTTTGTATTGGAGCATCTACCTGAAAGGCAAGGGCCTGAGCATTTTCTCCTTTTCCCTTATTAACGGTAAGCTCCTTGAGAGCAAGCATTATGTCTGTCTCTTCACCACTGCATCCTGGGTTCCTGGAGCAGTGCTATGCACTTAGGAGAACCTTAGTGAATGTTTGAGTATGTGAAGGCTCATGGCGCAGATAAGTGGCAGAGCCAGAAGCCAGCCTGGAGGTGAACCACTGCGGGCCTGCTCTCTGGGGCTGTCTTCCCTGCCTAGCGAGTGGATGGTGAGGAATCACCTAGAATTTTCTCATTTCTTAATGTTTGACCTGATGAAATATTGGGAAGAATGAGCTTCCTGGCTGTGACTCTGATTTTCTGTTGTTTTTTTTGAGACAGGAGTCTCGCTTTGTCACCCAGGCTGAAGTGCAGTGGCGCAATCTCGGCTCACTGCAACCTCTATCTCCGGGGTTCAAGCGATTCCCCTGCCTCAGCCTCCTGAGTAGCTGGGACTGTAGGCGCATGCCACCATGCCCAGCTAATGTTTGTATTTTTAGTAGAGATGGGGTTTCACCATGTTGGCCAGGATGGTCTTGATCTCTTCACCTCGGCCTCCCAAAGTGCTGGAATTACAGGTGTGAGCCATTGCATCAGGCAACTTTCTGGTCTTTTTGAGGGATGGGAAGGTTTGCTGGGTATGCAAAATTGGAGTCAGTGTTCTCAGCTTGGAAGAGATGTTATAATTTATTGATAGAATTTTTTATGGATGCCTTAAATTCTCAGAAATGATTTTGAATCTTAAGTTTATCTAAAATTTATATAATCCTTCTCCATAGTGAGAAAAAAATTTCTAAATTATAGTTCGATTTACCTATTTATATATAAGCTTCTGGATAAATACTTGTTTTTTTTTCCTCCATTTGAGGTTAATTTTGGATAGGTTCCATAGTGCAAAGTTGTTAAGAGTGGCAGTATAGAATTTTTAAGTTTTCTTGGGCCAGACATGGTAGTTTATGCTTGTAATCCCAGCACTTTGAAGGGCCGAGGCGGGAGGATCGCTTGAGGCCAGGAGTTCGAGACCAACCTGAACATCACAGCGAAACCCCATCTTCTGCAGAAAAATTTAAAAATTACCCAGGCATGGTGGTGTGTGCCTGTAGTTCCAGCTACTTGGGAGGCTGAGGTGGGAAGTTGCCTGAGCCCGGGAGATCAAGGCTGCAGTGAGCCGCGATCACACAACTGCAGTACTCTAGCCTTGGCAACAGAGCAAGAGACTGTAAGGTCTCACTGCAGCCTCAATCTCCCTGGCTGAAACCATCCTCCTACCTCAGCCTCCCAAGTAGCTGGGACTACAGATATATGCCAGCACACTGGGCTAATTTTTTTTTGTTTACTTTTTAGTAGAGTCGAAGTCTTGCTATGTTGCCCAGGCTGGTCTTGAGCTCCTGAGCTCAAGCAGTCCTCCTACCTTGGCCTCCCAAAGTGCTGGGATTACAGGTATGAGCCACCGTGCCCAGCCAAGACCCTGTCTTTAAAAAAATAAGTAAAAACAAAAACAAAAAATAGAATTTTAAGTCTTCTTAAATAACTTTCTAATGGACACAATTAGTTTTCAGTAATCCAACCTTTTTTTTAGAAGTTTTGAAAACTTTTTTTTGGATACCTGGGCTTTTGCACATTGTACCACACTGTAACAAAAATAAACCGCAGGTTTCTAACTGGTGTAGACTGTTGATTTTTTTTTTTAACAAATTAGGTTTGAATAAATTATATAATTGCTTTGTGGTTTTTTTGTTTTTTTTTTTTTGATGGAGTCTCGCTCTGTTGCCCAGGCTGGAGTGCAGTGGGGTAATCTTGGCTCACTGCAACCCCTGCCTCCCAGGTTCAAGCAATTCTCCTGCCTCAGCCTCCTGAGTAGCTGGGATTACAGGCACCTGCCACCATACCTGGCTAATTTTTGTATTTTTAGTAGAGACGGGGTTTCACCATGTTGGCCAGGCTGGTCTCGAACTCTTGACCTCGTGATCCACCCGCCTTGGCCTCCCAAAGTGCTGGGATTAGAGGCGTGAACCACTGCACGTGGTGCTTTGTGTTTTTTTTTTTTTAAATCTACTTAGAAATAAATTATTTTCACCCCCTGATTTACACTTGAATTTCCACTAGCAACACAATTTGTTGTCACAAATGTTTTCATAGTACTTGGGCACATTTGATGCAGAAATTTTTAATGGTCCAAGACTATTTTAGTTGATAGATGAAACCTTCCTTTTACCTGAACAAACTTTTTCGGAAGTTTAGGAGCCAGCTTTGTTCATCCTTTGGTGATAGGTGGTGGTTTGTATGTGTTTGTAGACAAAACTTTCCTTGGCGGGGATTTGCCCCTTTTTTCGTTGTTTCTTCTTCCTTTGAAGATCTCTGTTTAACAAAGATTTTTTTTTTGGCTCACAGTGTTCCTGTAATAGAATTCCTTCAAGAGTTCTAATACTAGTTTTGTTTTGTTTTGATGGCAGCAGGTTTTGAGAGTGAGCTTTTGACTTCATAAGAAGACTAAAACAACAGTCTTAGAGTACAGTTAAGTCCATTTGTTACCAGAAAATCAGACAGACAGCTAGGTCTGTCCTCATCAGGACCAAGTAATACTGGATTTTTTTTTTTCATTAAATGTTCACTATTTTTCTTTGTATGAAATTGAGGCCAGGTATAGTGACTCACACCTGTAATCCCAGCACTTTGGGAGGTCGAGGTGGGAGGGTTGCTTGAGTCCAGGAGTTTGAGACTGGCCTGGGCAACACAGTGAGACTCCGTCTCTTAAAAGAAGAAAGAAAAAAGAAATTGAATATGTGGTGATTACTACCCGTTTCATTTACTTTTTTACTTATTAACGTAGTGACTGTTTAAAAAAAGTTACGCATTGATCTTCCTGTTCCTTCCCCACCAAAAATAAAAGCAAAAACAACAAGCCACCCCTCAAATGAAACAAAATTAAGCCTGTTCTTTATCTATATTACTACTTAGCACATTTGACCTATTTTTTTAAAACCTCTGTTATTTTGAAAGTAAATTTTGGCTCTGTTGACCTTGCGGTTAGAAAAGTTGTTCTTCTGCTTAAATGAAATGATCAGTTGTTTGTAGATTACCAAATATAAAAGCTCTTCAGAACCGCTAATGATAAGTTGCTTTGGCTTCATAGAGGAACGCCATGGTTTGTGGTGGTAAATTGTTACAGAGCAAATGTCAGTACCAGAGGCGGTCATGGATCACCACGTGGAAGCAGGTTGTTCCCACATGAGATTGGTAGCGAGCCGGTGCTGCATCTGTCTCCTTTCCCACTGCATCCTGGGTGCCTGGAGCCTCACAGGGTTGACCCGTGTTGGGGGTGGGGATGGTTGTAGAAGCCTCTTTATTTTTACTTGTGATAGATTCTGGCACTGATTAGAATGTTTATTCAGTAGTTTTTTTCCTATCCGCCTGAGTTTTCATAGCTCAGTATAGGATAACATGGGCTTCGGATTTTGTCAACCAATCAATTATATAGTAGCTCTTTTGTTTTGTTTTTAAAATTTATTTCTATTTATGTATTTATTTATTTATTTTGAGAGAGGCCCTTGCTGTGTTACCCAGGCTGGAGTGCAGTGGCATGATCATAGCTCACTGCAACCATGAACACCTGGGCCCAAGTGATCCTCCTGCCTTGGCCGTCTGAAGTGTTAGGATTACAGTGTGAGCCACCAGACCTGACCTTTGTTTTGTTTTAGTAGCTACCTCTTGACTAGAAAAATAGTTTAATCTTGGCCTCCTTAAAACCTTTTCATTGATATTTTTTACTCTGCTAGAACAGTTCAGTTTTTGCATGTCTTCAAGTGAACATGCTTTAGTATTAATTCCATGGAAGCCATTTCTGTAGAATAGGCTAGTGTCCAGTTTTGTCCAGTTTTCCTTTTGGAGCAGTGTCTCAGGCACAGAAATAGTCTGGGCTTGGTGGACCCCACCCCAAAGTGTCACTTCTTTTCCTCTGGCCTTGCTCTCCATGCCCGCCTTTCTCTTCTGATGTTTTAATGATACCCTCCCTGCTCGGTGATTTGTGTTCAGGAAGCTAGGCAGTGATTACTTTTGTTTCTGCTTTGTGAACTTCCTCCCCCACTTCCTATTTTTACCGCAGTTGCACAGGAAATGAGGCGGCTCCTGGCTGGCTGCTGCTAAGCAGTGATTTTAGGTGGCAGAGGACAAGGCCTCAGGGCCTGAGCCATTTAAGGCATTTTCCACCTTAATCTTTTCACTACCTTCTTCCTCTAGGAGTCATAGGAACATGATTTTGTGATTGGGTTGAGGTGACATCATGTCCTCAGCCTTGTGGGTGGAGACAGGGGTTGCTGTTTAGTTGGAGGACAGCACTTTTGTGAAGGAAGTGAGGGCTTTTTTCAGCAGTAACAATGTGGGTGGAATGTCGTGGCCCTGTGGCCTCTGCAGCTTGAGGGAAGGTTAAGTTGAAGGGACAGGCCCTGTTGCAGGTAAGGATAGGGAGGTGGATTCTGGTTACTCTCTAGAGGGCCTTGACTGGCAGCTTGAAGTGAGCTGAGGAGCCTAGTCTGCTCTCTCAGATCTTTGAGGGGGGCCTCAGCCTCTATGGCACCCTCCTTCCTCTGAACCCATGGCATTTGTTTTCTAAACGACTTATTTAGCATTTATCAGTCTCTTTTTTGATGATGCCTCTTCTTAGCTTATGGACCCGTTATAGCTTAATTTATGGAGAAAGTTTGTATCATCTCCCCAGAAAGAAGTAACTTGTTATACATTAGTTAACTTGAATATGGAAGGTGCTCAAAGCATTAGTTTATCGGAGATTCTTAAGAGCTGCACTGTTGACATTTTGGGGTAGATAATTCTTTGTAGGGGCTGTCTTGTGCATTATGGGATGTTCAGCAGCACTTCTGGCCTCTACCCACTGGATGCTACCCACTAGCACTTGCCCAGGGTGACAACCAAAACATCTCTAGACATTGCCAGATGTTGGTAGGGCAGAGAAGGACACAAAATTATACTTTTCCCCACTTGTTGAGAACCACTGTGTTAAAGAATTGAATTACTAATTACTAACTTATAAAATGGAATAAAGTAGAATGTTTGGTTCCCTGGGATTAAAGCCATTTGTTAGTTTCTATTTTCATATCTGACATTCTCATAATTCTTAGTTTGCTACTTAGAGTATGCTGTGCTCTATCAGCTTCAGCTAGTGTTCAGGTATACCTTCTGTGCACTTTCTTTTTTTTTTTTTTTTTTTTTTAGATGAAGTCTCACTCTGTTGCCCAGGCTAGAGTGCTGTGGCGTGATCTTGGCTCACTGCAACCTCTGTCTCCCGGGTTCAAGCGATTCTCCTGTCTCAGCCTCCCTAGTAGCTGGGACTACAGGTGTGTGCCACCACACCCAACTAACTTTTTGTATTTTTAGTAGAGACAGGGTTTCACCATGTTGGCCAGGCTGGTCTCGATCTCCTGACCTCGTCATCCACCCGCCTCGGCCTTCCAGAGTGCTGGGATTACAGGTGTGAGCCACCACGCCCGGCCCCTTCTGTGCACTTTCATTGAAAGAACTAGGAGCTGGGCGCGGTGGCTCATGTCTGTAGTACCAGCATTTTGGGAGCCGAGGCAGAAGGATTGCTTGAGCCCAGGAGTTTGAGACCAGCCTGGGCAATGTAGAGAGACCCCATCTCTACAAAAAATCAAAAAATAAAAATTAGCTGAGCTACTTAGGAGGCTGAGGTGGGAGGTTCACTTGAGGGAGGTCAAAGCTGCAGTGAGCTATGATCGTGCCACTGTGCTCTAGCCTGGGGCATGGAGCAAGTCTCAAAAACAAAAACAAAAACAAAAACAAAAAAACTAGGGCCTGAGCCTTTGGCAGGCTGGCTTCTTGTCCTCATAGAAGGCATTCTGTCAGCTTCTGTGCCTTGATATTGCTTGCTCTGGAAGTCAATTTCCTTGGAAGCTGAGTAGTGCAAGGGTAAGGAGGAAATGAGAAACATTTAGGATATAATAATAATAGGTAACATTTATGGAGCAGTTGCTGTAGAAGAGGCACTGTGGTGAACAGGATTGACAGGATTGAAAGGACAGGCTAGACAACAGGACGGGGACCATCTGGAATAACACCTTAAGTTTGGGTTAAAAGTTGGTTGTGCCTTTGACCAAGCAAGGCAGTAAATATAGCAGGAGGAGTGGGAAATAGAAAGGTGACAGGGTAAAACTTTTTTTGAAACATAGTCTTGCTCTGTTGCCCAGGCTGGAGTGCAGTGATGCAATCTTGGCTCACTGCAACATCTGCCTCCTGGGTTCAAGTGATTCCCAGATAGCTGGGATCACAGGCGCCCACCACCATGCCCGGCTAATTTTTGTATTTTTAGTAGAGACAGGGTTTTGCCATGTTGGTCAGGCTGGTCTCAAACTCCTGACCTCAGGTAATCCACCCACCTTGGCCTCCCAAAGTGCTGGGATTACAGGCGTGAGCTACCGTGCCCTGGCCATGAAAGGGTAAAACTTGAAGACCCTGCAGAGATGTCTCCTGGGTCTGGTCCTTGGAGAGGGAGGTCTTGACTGGAGAGTTGAATTTGGGAATCATCAGCAGTGATACGGAGTATGATCTCCTAGAGAGAGGTCACTTTTCATTGCTCCAGCTCAGCTTCTCATCAGTTCCAAGAAGCTGGAAGCCTTAACCATCTTCTAGGAGTGGTAAGCAGAGTGCCATGGTCTGGATATTTGACAGAGGTGGGATGGTGCAAGAATGGAGAGCTCAACCTGTGGCAGCAGATTGCCATGTCCCAGACCTAGCTGTGTGGTGACCACTACCTTAGCCATGTGGTGAGAACATGAAGAACTCACTTCATCTTATTAGATGCCTCACCTACCTTATGGGGTCATTGTGATAACCTTGTAATTTGATAACACGGCCAGGTGTGATGGCTTACGCCTGTAATCCCAGCACTTTGGGAGGCCAAGGAGGTTGGATCACTTGAGGTCAGGAGTTCGAGACCAGTCTGGCTAACATGGTGAAAACTGTCTCGACTAAAAACACAAAAATTAGCCAGGTGTGTGACGCACACCTGTACTCCCAGCTACTTGGGAGGCTGAGGCTGGTCAATCACTTGAACCCAGGAGATGGAGATTGCAGTGAGCCGAGATTGTGCCACTGTACTCCAGCCTGGGCTTAACAGAGCAAGATCCTGTCTTGAAAATAAATAAATAAATATGATAACATGTGAAGTGCATAGCACAGTGCCTGGCTCTTACCCACAGTTAATGTCAGCTGTTTCAAGATATTTGATATCTAAAGCTCCAAGTATAATGCTTGGCACGTCATAGACACTTAGTGACTGGTCCATTTCTTTGGGGAGTACTTATGTGGACGTGGCATGTCTTCACTAGCTTATTTATTTATTTTAAGCAGAACCTTATTTCTAGCATCTAACTACTGCCTCCGTGGTTGGCAAGGGTGACTTCATGAATGTTGTAAAGGAATACCATTAAATAAGTACTGAGGACAAACTAATAATTCAACAAATATTTGTTAAATGTTTACATCATGCTTAGCACCCTTGGATGTTTTGAATGAGCTCAGGGGTCCTGGGGGTTGGAGGTGACAGGGAAACACAGAGCAAACCGGCAGTTGTGATCTAGCATGTTATGCTTCAGTAGAGTTAATGTTAAGGTGGGGCTAAAAACAGGGTGTTACGGCAGCAGAGGAACCCCTCGCTCAGTCTGTCAAAGTGGTTTCTCAGAAGAAGTGATGCCTAAGTTAGACATCCAAGAGGAATGAGAGTGAGCCAAGAGAGCTTTCCAGACAGTAGAAATGAAATGTGTGGCCAGGTGGCGAGAAGGAAGATGGCACATGTAGGAAGTGGGTGGTGTTGGGGCGGTGTAAGAAAATTGGGAAGGGTAATGGAGAGCCATAGTGGATTTTAAGCGCAGAGTGGTGTGATCACATTGATTCTAGAGTAGTCACACAGCATCCAGAGGGGAGTAGCCCAGGCATTTGGAAGATCACTCAGGAGGCGCCTCCATAATTCAGGCAGGAGGTAAAAACAGTAGCTTTGGTACGGCAGTGAAGATAGAAGGAAAAGGACTTGAGAGATACTAAGAAGGCAGGAAGGGGCCGGGCATGGTGGCTCATACCTGTAATCCCAGCATTTTGGGAGGCCGCGGCGGGTGGATCACCTGAGGTTGGGAGTTCGAGATCAGCCTGACCAATATGGAGAAACCCCGTCTGTACTAAAAATACAAAATTAGCCGGGTGTTGTGGTGTATGCCTGTAATCCCAGCTACTCAGGAGGCTGAGGCAGGAGAATCGCTTGAACCCAGGAGGCGGAGGTTGCAGTGAGCTTAGATCGCACCATTGCACTCCAGTCTGGGCAACTAGAGCGAAACTCCGTCTCAAGAAGGCAGGAAGGATAAGACTGTGATTAATTGGATGTGAAGGAGAGTGAAGAGTAGAGGATAACTCCCAGGTTTCTGCCTTGTTCAAGTAGGCAGATGGTGATGTCATTTGCCAAGACTGGGAAGGCATATTGAAAGACTTGGAAGATTTGGTTTTGGACTTTTGATTTTGGGACCTGTCCACTAGGCAGTTGAATATTTGGGTTCTGGAGCACAGGACAAAGATCTGGGCTAGAGGGATGGATTTGGGAATCTTCCCAGAAGGAATATGTTGCTCTTAGAAACAGAGAGGGCATAGCACTTAAGGTCTATCAGAGGAGGAGTAGCTCAAAGGGGCAACTAAGAATGGCCAGAGAGGTATGAGGAGAGCCAGCACTAAGCGTCTTTTCGTGTTAGCAGCTTACAGAGTTGCTTCACTTTGTAATGTGGTAACAGATAGAGGGAGCTAAAAAAGTAGAGTTCTAAGGAACGTCCGAGCAAAGCACTGAATTTTCCAGGCATTTTCTCTTGCCTGGATAGATATTTTAAATTTATGAATGTTGAGAATAAAATTCTTCAAAGCATTTTTCTAGAGTGCATTTCTAAATACGGTTTGAGTCAGTCTGAACTGACTAAAAACATGGAAATGGTTGGGCTTTGAACTTCATAGACAATAACTTCACTAATCTGCCTAAAGAATTTCCTGTAGTGTCTCCACATTATCAAGGGTAGATATTTGGATTTGCATTTTTGTGGATTGGAGAGGACAGAACATTTTCTGTGTTTTTTTTTTTTTCCTCAGAAGAGGGAATTGTTTAGGAATGATTCATCTTTATATTTTTTGTAACAGCTTTATTGAAATATAATTCACATACCATACAGTTTATCCATTTAAAGTATATAAATTGGTGGTTTTTAGTATGTTCATAGTTATGCAACCATCATCAATTTTAGAATATTTTCATCACTCTGCAAATAAACCATATACCCATTAGCAGTCATCCCTTATTTCCCCCATTCCACACCCCCACCCCCAGCCTTAGGCAACCATTAATTGACTTTTTGTTTCAATGGATTTACGTAATTGGTACAGTTCATATTAAGGGAACTTTGGGTCTGGTTTCTTTCACTTAGCATAATGTTTTCAAGGTTCATCCATGTATCAGTACTTTATTCCTTTTCATGGCTGAATAATATTCCATTGTACAGTTATACTACATTTTGTTTGTCCATTTGTCAATTGATAGACATTTGAGTTGTTTCCAGTTTTTGGTATTATGATAATACTGCTCCAAACGTTCATCTGCATGTTGGTTTGTAGACATGTTTTTCATTTCTCTTGGATATATATACCTAGGAGTAAAATTTCTTGGTTGTGTGGTAATTTTATGTTTAACCATTTGAGGAACTGCCACTGTGTTTTCCAACATGTCTGTACCATTTTGTATTACCCTGAGCAGTATATGAGGATTCCAAATTCTCTAACATTTTGTCAACACTTGTTATTGTCTGTTTGATTATAGTAATCCTAGTGGTTGCGAAGAGGTATCTCATTGTGATTTTGATTTGCATTTCCCTGATAGTTAGTGATGTTGACTGTCTTTTCATATGCTTATTGGCATATCATCTTTGGAGGGTTCATCTATATTTGTGTTTTGTTTGTTTTTTTTTCTTTAGAGATGGAGTCTTGCTCTGTCTTCCAGACTGGTGTGCAGTGGTGCCATCTTGGCTCACTGCAGCCTATGTTTCCTAGGTTCAAGCAGTTCTCCTGCCTCAGCTTCCTGAGTAGCTGGGATTACAGGTGTGCGCCACCACGCCCAGCTAATTTTTTATTTTTGGTAGAGATGGGGTTTCGCCATGTTGACCAGGCTGGTCTCATGCTCCTGACCTCAGGTGATCTGCCTGCCTCGGCCTCCCAAAGTGCTGGGATTACAGGGGTGAGCACCTGTGCCCAGCCCATCCATATTTGATCATCAGTTTTGGCAAGGTAAATTAAGTTGCAAAACCTGAAACTTTAAAGGAACAAACATAACACATTTGATTGTAGAAATGAGGGAAAAAGAGTGTGTGTGGGTATGTGTGTTTATGTACATATGTGTATATGTACAGTGGAAGATGCCATAAACAGATTT
Source organism: Homo sapiens (assembly GCF_000001405.40). NCBI lineage: Eukaryota > Metazoa > Chordata > Mammalia > Primates > Hominidae > Homo > Homo sapiens. Next base: position 131,432 of record NW_003315963.1, read on the forward strand.
GTAAAAGTTAAAGGACAGGCTCCCCAGAGAAATAGCCAGTGTGCTCCATCCACATCAAGCCTGAGTGTGAGAGAGTTCTGGATAATCCTGTTACCTGGCTGTGACTTTGGAAGTGGAGACCATGATCTCTGCCTTCTCCCTCATATCATCTGTCTTAAGGTCACAGATACCGCAGCCACTGCCAGGTTTCCACAAGCCAGTCACCTTTCAGGTGGAGAAGTAGCTTGCTATAGCAGCCAGTTTCTCGAGTTTGCGCGACAGTGCCACTGGAACAATGGCTCATTCATGTCAGATTTCCAGAGAGTTGGGCAGCACACTTGTGAGAATCCAGCTGTGAACAAGCCATTGCTGTCTTTAGGAGCTTATGTGCCAGGTGGTAAAGTGTACATATGCAAATAAAATGGTAAGATGATTGCAAGTTGTCATGAAGATAAGACAGCATTGTAGGGGTGAGGTGACCCTAGATTAGACAGGTTGGCTGCAGAAGGCTTCTCTGAGGGTGTAACACTTGTTTTGAGAGCTAAAGGATGAACGGGAGGAGCATCATGAGTAGGAGGGAGGCAGGAGCTTTCTGGATAGAGGCAGCAGCGTGTGTAAAGAGCTTGGGGCACTAGAAGAACTGGAAGATAAATGGTGTGACTGCAGAATGATGAGTGAGACTCAGGAGGCACGACATGAGGCTGGAGAGGTGGGCAGGGCTGTGCAGGTCTCAGTAAGGAGTTTGATTTTATTCAAAGTGCCAGGGACCATTGGATATAAATTCTTCATAAACTGCATGCAGAAGAGAGATTAAAAGGTTGGCAGAAAGGAATAAAAATGAAACTGGAGGACCAAGCTGGTAAAAATTGCCCCCAAGGGTCTATCAGAATCCTAACTCACTTAGACCAATAAGATCAGTGGTTACTTATGAACAATACGTTTGAAAAGACCTATGAAAAAACACGTGAAATTTGGAGTTTCTCTGTCTCTCATGTTTCCTGTAAGTAATTCGCTAGATATAGAGACTCGATTAGATTTTGATTCAGTATTTTAGGCAAAAATATTTTTTGGGTGGTACTGTGTACTTCCTATTTTGTCACAATGATAGGCATATAATTATATGTTTAGTTCCCCACTTTAATGATGCTAAAATTAATTAGTGAGTTCAGGTGTTATGCCTGATTCCTTCATCATAAACTTCTCCATCAAGTTTCACCAAATCATTTTAACAGTGATTAATAATCATTGGCTAGATACACTATTTCATTAGAGTTGCAAAATAATAGTTTTCCTAGCATTTCTTCTTTATTTATTGGCTAATTTTCTTTGATTAAGCACTTTCCTAAATGGAGTATTCAAAAAAAAACTATATAAACAGGAAAAGCAGGATAAATGCTTGATTTCACCCCCCCCCCCCACCCCCAGCAGTTTTCAGAACAATAGCTTGGTGCCTTAACACCTCCACAGAGAGATGACCAATGGAATTTTTCTTAATATCATTATTGACTCACTTTTTTTATTGTGGTAGAATATGCATAACACAAAATTTACAGTTTTAACCATTTTTATTATACATTTCAGTGGCATAAGTACATTAACAATGTTGTGCAGCCATCACCACCATCCATCTCCAGAACTTTTTCAACATCCCAAACTGAAAGTCTTGGCCAGGCATGGTGGCTCATGCCTGTAAACCCAGCACTTTGGGAGGCTGAAGCGGGTGGATCACCTGAGGTCAGAAGTTTGAGACCAGCCTGGCCAACATGGTGAAACCCTGTCTCTGCTAAAAATACAAAAATTAGCCAGATGTGGTGGCATAAGCCTGCAGTCCCAGCTACTTGGGAGGCTGAGGCACGAGAATTGCTTGAACCCAGGAGGCAGAGGTTACAGTAAACCGAAATTGTGCCACTAGTACTCCAGCCTGGGTGACAGAGCAAGACTCCATCTCAAAAAAAAAAAAAAAAAAAAAAAGTCTTGCCTATTAAACAGTAACTCCCCATTTTCCCCTTCTCTCAGCTCCTGGGCACAACCTCTCTTCTACTTTTTGTCCCTAAAAATTTGACTATTTTAGGCACCCCATATATATGGAATCACACAGTATTTGTCCTTTAGTGTCTGGCATCTTAGCAGAGTATCTCCAAGGTTCATCCATGTTGGAGCATGTTATTAGAATTTCCTTCATTAATTTTTTTTTTTTATTGACAGGGTCTCTGTCACCCAGGCTGGAGTGCAGTGGTGCAGTCAAGCTTACTGCAGCCTCAGATGCCTGGGTTCAAGTGATCCTCATGCCTCAGCCTCCCAAGTAGCTGGAACTACAAGTGTGCACCATAATGCCAAGCTAATTTTTAAATTTTTTGTAGAGACAGGGTCTCGCCATGTTGCCCAGGCTAGTCTCAAACTGGCCTCAAGCGATCTTCCTACCTCAGCCTCCCAAAGTGCTAGGATTACAGGCATGAGCCACTGCTTCCAGCCTTTCTTCCTTTTTAATACTAAATAATAGTCCATTGTATGGATATACCACATTTGTTTATCTATTCATCTTCCATGGACATTTGAATTGTTTCCACCTTTTGACTATTATGAATAATGCTTCGGTGAACATGGGTGAAGAAATACCTGCTCACGTCCTTGCTTTCAGTTCTTTTGGGTAGATGCACAGAAGTGGATTTCCTGAATCACATGGTAATTCTATGTTTAATTTTTTAAGGAAGCACCATACTGTTTTCCACAGTGGCTGCACTATTTTATATTCCCACTAGCAATACACAAGGCTTCCAATTTCTCCATGTCCTTGCCAGCACTTTTTGTTTTGTTTTGTTTTTGAGACAGTGTCTCGCTCTCCGTCCCAGGCTGGAGTTCAGTGGCCCATTGCGATCTCGGCTCACTGCAACCTGTGCTTCCCGGGCTCAGGTGATCCTCCCACCTCAGCCTCCCAAGTAGCTGGGACCACGCCTGGCTATTTTTTTTTTTATTTTTAGTAGAGACGAGGTTTCTCCATGTTGCCCAGGCTGGCAGTGGCCAGCACTTATTTTCTGTGTTTTGTTTATTTTAATATTAGCCATCCTAATAGGGTATGAAGTGGTATCTCACTGTGGTTTTGATTTGCATTTTCCAAGTTATATTATTCCCTAGTTGTACTGTCTGTTCTTGCCTTACTGTAAAGAAATACTTGAGACTGGGTAATTTATAAACAAAAGTGGTTTAATTGGCCGGGCGCGGTGGCTCACGCCTGTAATCCCAGCACTTTGGGAGGCCGAGGCGGGCGGATCACGAGGTCAGGAGATTGAGACCATCCCGGCTAAAACGGTGAAACCCCGTCTCTACTAAAAATACAAAAAATTAGCCGGGCGTAGTGGCGGGCGCCTGTAGTCCCAGCTACTTGGGAGGCTGAGGCAGGAGAATGGCGTGAACCCGGGAGGCGGAGCTTGCAGTGAGCCGAGATCCCGCCACTGCACTCCAGCCTGGGCGACAGAGCGAGACTCCGTCTCAAAAAAAAAAAAAAAAAAAAAAAGTGGTTTAATTGGCTGTACAGGAAGTATGGCAGCATCTGCTCCTGGGGAGGCCTTAGGGAGCTTTTATTGGTGGCAGAAGGCAAAGCGGAGCAGGCATCTTAAATGGCAGGAGCCAGGACCGAGAGAGAGAAGGGAGGTGCTGCCCACTTTTAAACAACCAGGTCTCATGAGAACCCACTCACTATTGAGTACAAAGGGGAAAATCCACCACATGATCCAGTCACCTCCTCCCAGGCTCCACCTCCAACATTGGGAATTACTATTCAACATGAGATTTGTGTGGGGACACAGATTTAAGCTATATCACTAGTGATTAGTGATGTTGAGCATCTTTTCATGTGCTTATTAGCTGTTCGCATATTTCTTGGGGCAAAAGTCTATTCAAGTCCTTTGCCCATTTAAAAATTGGATTTTTGTGTTTGAGTTGTAGGAGTTCTTTATATATTCTGGATATTAATTCCTTTTCCCATATGTGATTTATAAATATTTTCATCTATGGATTGCTTTTTGCTTGTAATGTCCTTTGATGCCTAAAAGTTTTGATTTTGAAGTCCAGTTTATCTGTTTTTTGTTGCCTGTGCTTTTCGTGTCCTATCCAAGAAATTATTGCTAAGTCTGAACTCAGTAATTTTTATATATTTAATGATTTTCACCCCTAAATGGTTATTCTTTTTGATGCTTAAGTTGTCCCATTATTGATCGTTAATGGCACTTATTTTTCGGGTTTTCTAGGTGCTTTTGACATGAGCCTAGTAGTGTTATATGAGTTCCCTGCTTTCTGGCTTTACAAGAAGTCCGGGGCTTATCGGAAAAATTTCTGATCCCAGATCCAGAATCAGCCATTTCTTTAACTAGTTCTGATTCTTTTTGGTGGGAAATGGTATTAAGGGCATTCATTACAATTAAGATGTAAATTCCAGTAGGTTTTTTTTTTTTTTTAGTAGAACTAGGAAATACATACTTTTTGGAAAGAAAAAGATACACCATGATTTCAGACTGATTTACTTCCAATTCAAATGAAGGATTAAAGGATTTTTATATCTTTGATTTTATATTTGTCTTTTCTCATTTGTTGACAGTAACACCAGAGGGGTCCAGTCAAAACACGATTTTATTGATTGACCGATTGATGGAGACCACCTCACTCTGTCGCCCAGGCTGGAGTATAGTGGCGCCATGTTGGCTCACTGCAGCCTCCACCACCTGGGCTCAAGTGATCCTTCCACCTCAGCCTCATCAGTAGCTGGGACTACAGGGATGCACTACCATGTCTGGATAATTTTGTTTGTTTGTTTGTTTTGAGATGGAGTCTCACTCTGTCACCCAGGCTGGAGTGCAGTGGTGTGATCTCAGCTCACTGCAACCTCTGCCTCCCGGGTTCAAGTGATTTTCCTGCCTCAGCCTCCCTGGTAGCTGGGACTACAGACGCCTGCCACTATGCCTGGCTAATTTTTGTATTTTTAGTAGAGACGTGGTTTCACCATATTGGCCAGGCTGGTCTCAAACCCCTGACCTTGTGATCTGCCTGCCTCTGCCTCCCAAAGTGCTAGGATTACAGTCATGAGCCACTGCACCTGGCCAATTTTGTTTGTGTGTTATAGAGATGGGGTCTCACTGTGTTGCCCAGGCTGGTCTTGAACTCTAAAGCATTCCTCCTGCTTTGGCCTCCCAAAGTGATGGGATTACAGATGTGAAGCACTACACCTGGCCGAAACACAATTTTAAACTTGAAATAATTCTTCTCTGTGTGGCTGTGCCACTAATTTGGTAAATAATATAGATTCATTTGTCTTTTGTTTCATTTTTAGGGATATTTTTCTTTTTTATATTTGCTTTTTGCTTATATATTTACGTAGTTCTAAAGATAAAACCATAAGTAAGATAGATTGAAAGAAGTCTGGCTTTCCTCCTTGTCTTTGTTCTTCTCTATACGTTGTAGGTAAACATCTTTGTTGGTTTTTGGTTTATTCTCCCATGGCTTATTTTAAAAGCTACAAGCGTGTGTGTCTGTGTGTTTCTGTATTCCCTATACCTTACTTCATTCCCATTTTATTTCTTCTCGTTTTTATCTTGGCAATCATATTTCTTATTTCCAAGAATTCATTGTTGATTTCTACTTCCTTTATGATTTGTTTGCTTTTGGTTTTTTTTTCTCCCCCCGAGATGGAGTCTTGCTCTGTTGCCTAGAGCTGGAATGCAATAGTGCGATCTCGGCTCACTGCAACCTCCGCCTCCTGGGTTCAAGCAATTCTCCTGCCTTGGCCTCCTGAGTAGCTGGGATTACAGGCGCACGCCACCACACCAGGCTAATTTTTGTATTTTTAGTAGAGACGGGGTTTCACCATGCTGGCCAGGCTGGTCTTGAACTCCTGACCTTGTGATCTGCCTGCCTTGGCCTCCCAAAGTGCTCGGATTACAGGCGTGAGCCACCGTGCCCAGCCCTGCTTTTAAGGATGCACTATCTTTCCAACACTGTCTGAGGAATACCAGTCAGAATTTCTTTTCAGGTGTTTTTTCTGGGACCTAAAATATGTATTTCTTCTGAGGTCTGATCACCTTTTCATCTTAGTTGTCCTTTTTTGTCCTTTTGGTTTTCCTTCACTGTCTGGTGATCCTTATCAATGAAGAACTGGGTTGTTCATATAGGTAATTTGCAGGAGGTCCCTCTGTTTTTCAATAGTCCTCTTGCCTTAGTGAGAGTTGGCTGATTGAGGAATGGGAAGTACAGATGAAATCAGGTTGATTAACTGGTTTCCCACTCCTGATTTCTCTACCTGCTGATTCAAAGCTGGGCATTTATCCAGCTCCTCCAGGAAAAAGGGCTCTGCCTCTCTGTTCTCTTTTGGCCCTGCATGTTGTAAAAAGTGGCCAGCTTTGCTCTGGTCTGTCTTGTAATATAGTTTCCTCTGCTTTCTCTCCATCCTCTAGAAGATGGCCTGCAGTTAAATAGACTGTGGCCCTCAGACCTTCTCATTACTGTTTTGCTGAGATTCCCTTGTGAATGTCTTTATTGTTATGTCACTGGGATTTGGGGAGGATGGAGAGGTAAGTGCACTTGCCTGTTTAGCCTGTCGTTTTGAAATGAAACTCCTTTTGTCATCCCATTTCTGACAGTAGGACTGCTTGCCACTCTCTTTTCTCTGTTGGTTTAAGGACTGAAGTGGATCTAAAATTATTCTCTGTATTCACAAATCATAGCTATCAATCTTTAGTCAGATGGGAAAACTTAATTAATTAATTCAGGGACTAAATTTCTCTTTATAGCTGCATAGTCCATGTAAGTAGAAGTTAGTTATCAATGAAGTGTGTGATGCTTCCTGCCCTGCGATTGGTAGATTTCTATTTGGTTCAAGGATTGGGTAACTTTTCAAGACCTTTCCTGTTTGTCAGTGACTTTTTTCCAGAGAAGCAGAAATAACAAGGCCTGCTTCCTTTGCTTGCTTTGTGGGAATGATAATATCATCATCATCAAACATTTAGTGCTTAATATGTGCCAGACATCATTCTAAGTGCTTTATATGTATAAACCCATTTAACTCAATAACAGTGGTTACTATTATCCTTATTTTATAGATGATGAGACAGGCAGAGAGAGGTTAAGGAACTTGCTCAAGGTCAAGCTGATCCTGACAGCCAAGATCTCACCCTATTAGTCAGACGCCCAGGGCCATTCTCTTCTTCACTTCAATCGTCTTATCTTTCTAAAGGGAAGTGCTTCAAGAGATTTTCTTAGGATGGCTGACCACTTTTCATGTCTTGTCAACCATAGGTATAAGAAAATCCTCTAATACTGAGTCTTCATCTAGTTTCTTTCTTTCTTTCTTTTTTTTTTTTTTTTTTTGAGACGGAGTCTCACTCTGTCACCCAGGCTGGAGTGCAGTGGCATGATCTCGGCTCACTGCAAGCTCCGCCTCCCAGGTTCATGCCATTCTCCTGCCTCAGCCTCCCAAGTAGCTGGGACTACAGGCGCCCGCCACCATACCTGGCTAACTTTTTGTATTTTAGTAGAGACGGGGTTTCACCGTGTTAGCCAGGATGGTCTGGATCTCCTGACCTCGTGATCCGCCCGCCTCAGCCTCCCAAAGTGCTGGAAGTGCTGGGATTACAGGCCCGGCTTTCTTTTTTTTTTTTTTTTTTTTTTTGAGACAGTCTCACTCAGTCACCCAGGCTAGAGTGCGGTGGTGCAATCTCGGCTTACTGCAACCTCCACCTCCCAAGCGATTCTCCTGCCTCAGCCTCCCAAGTAGCTGAAATTACCGGCATGTGCTACCACGCTCGGCTAATTTTTGTATTTTTAGTAGAGACAGGGTTTCACTGTGTTGGCCAGACTGGTCTCAAACTCCTGGCCTCAAGTGATCTGCCCGTCTCAGCCTCCCAAAGTACTGGGATTACAGGCATGAGCCACCATGTCTGGCCTTCGTGTAGTTTCAAGCATGTCCTTTATTGCCTGAAATAGAAATCGCTGATGACTCTAATTGTAGAAATGAATATTTTAAATGATATAATTATGGCTGAATTCAGTTTTAATCTGTGGAGAACTTTTGCAAATTATGTTGAAAAGATGTTACTTAAAATGTTCTTTTCTGCTATGTATTTGATTTTTTAAGTAGCATTAAAACTTAAGAGTACATGACAAATCTCACAAGTCTTGGCTACACTAACTTCTGAGGTCTTTCACAATGCGTATTTATTTCCATGCAGCATGAATAGTGGATTCATAAATGGTGAATGTTTTCCCAGTGAAAATTCTTTTTAAGAAAATACGGAAAAGAAATGTCCTTAAATGGTTTGAACATATTTTAGCCTGACAGGCAGATAAATATGAGGGTGGAGAAGCATGTGAAAAACATTTAGACAGCATTAAGAAGAATTTTATTAAAATAATGATAATAATAATAATTAGCTGGGCACGGTGGCATATGCCTGTAGTCCCAGCTACTGGGGAGGCTGCAGTAGGAGGATCATCTGAGCCCAGGAGGCAGAGGTTACAGTGAGCCGAGATCACGCCACTGCACTCCAGCCTGGGTGACAGAGCCAGACCCAGTCTCAATAAATAAATAAAAACAGAAATAAAATAATAAAATCCAGGTGTTCGTGTGTGTGTGTGTGTCTGTGTGTGCATTTTCAACATTTTGTTTCAGAAATGTTCAATCATATACAACATTGGAGCAAGTGATATGATGCACCTCATGTACCCATCACCTAACTTCCAACAGTATTTTGTCAGGGGATATTATGATCACTGCCATGAAGACAAATGCTTAGGTAGGTATTACCACCTTCTCTGTACATTGTTTCTTGGCAAAATGTCATTTGAAAATGATAGAACTCGGGCAGGCATGATGGCTCATGGCTGTAATCCCAACACTTTGGGAGGCTGAGGCAGGCGGATCACTTTGAGGTCAGGAGTTTGAGACCAGCCTGGCCAACGTGGTGACACCCTGTCTCTACTAAGAATACAAAAATTAATCAGGCGTGGTATCGGGCACCTGTAATGCCAGCTACTCAGGAGGCTGAGGCATGAGAATTGCCTGAACCCAGGAGGTAGAGGTTGCAGTGAGCCGAGATCGCACCACTGCACTCCAGCCTGGGCAACAGAGTGAGACTTCATCTCAAAAAAAGAAAAAAGAAAATGATAGATCTTGAATGTATTTCAGTTCCATGACCTTTTTTTTTTGTTTGTTTCATCGTGTTAGCTAGGATGGTCTCGATCTCTTGACCTCGTGATCCAGCTGCCTCGGCCTCCCAAAGTGCTGGGATTATAGGCGTGAGCCACTGTGACCAGCCAGTTCCATGACATTTTAAAAAAATTCAACACTATCTAGTTTTGATTACAACAAAGATCTGCACAGGAACACCAGATCTGTTAAGAATTAGCGAAAACTAGTTTACATGTTTTGAATGTTTTTTCTCTCTGCTTGGGTAGGAACCCCAGGCGTGACTGTGATACTTGAGCAGTCTTGTTAGAAGCAATTATGTTACAAACAGAACTTTTCATTGATCTGTGTAACCAGCCCCTTGGTTCTCAGAAAAAGAGTTGTGGCCAGGCACAGTGGCACACGCCTGTAATCCCAGCACTCTGGAAAGCCGAGACAGGTGGATTGCTTGAGCTTAACAGCCAGAGACTGGTGAAACCCTGTTTCAAAACAAACAAACAAACAAAACAAAACAAAAAAACTTATTTATCACTTTGGAAGGGAGGTGCCTTTCTGTATTATTATTATTTTTTGAGACGGAGTCTCGCTCTGTTGCCCAGGCTGGAGTGCAGTGGCATGATTTCGGCTCACTGCAAGCTCTGCCTCCCGGGTTCATGCCATTCTCCTGCCTCAGTCTCCCGAGTAGCTGGGACTACAGGTGCATCCCACCACACCTGGCTAATTTTTTGTATTTTTAGTAGAGACAGGGTTTCACCGTGTTAGCCAGGATGGTCTCGATCTCCTGACCTCTTGATCTGTCCACTTTGGCCTCCCAAAGTGCTGGGATTACAGGTGTGAGCCACCGTGCCCAGCCAACCTTTCTGTATTCTTTTTTTTTTTTTTTGAGACGGAGTCTGGCTCTGTCGCCCAGGCTGGAGTGCAGTGGCACCGGGATCACGCCATTCTCCTGCCTCAGCCTTCCCAGTAGCTGGGACTACAGGCGCCCGCTACCACGCCGGGCTAATGTTCTGTATTTTTAGTAGGGATGGGGTTTCATCGTGTTAGCCAGGATGGTCTCGATCTCCTGACCTCGTGATCCGCCCGCCTCGGCCTCCCAAAGTGCTGGGATTACAGGCGTGAGCCACCATGTCCGGCCTTTGTGTATTCTTGAATACACAGGAATATTGGTGAGAATCCCTGAGTTGCACTACAGTCGGCATCATCAGGCGTCCTCATTCTTGTGGCTGTCAGCAGATTTTCAGTGGACCCCCAGTTTGGCTCTCAAATTATAGCATACATCAGAATCATCTGGGGAACTTGTTAAAAAAGTGTATTCTCCAAAAAATTAGTCGGGCATGGTGGCGGGCGCCTGTAGTCCCAGCTACTCAGGAGGCTGAGGCAGGAGAATGGCGTGAACCCAGGGGGCGGAGCTTGCAGTGAGCCGAGATTGCGCCACTGCACTCCAGCCTGGGAGACAGAGCAAGACTGTCTCAAAAAAAAAAAAAAAAAAAGTGTATTCTCTGCTTCTCTCCCAAAGATTGATTCGTTAGATTTGGATTGCATCCCAGTAATCAGTATTTAAATAGTCATTCCAGGAAGGGTGCTATCCTGATTCTAGTATCAGAGAAGGAAGTCCTTAAAAGCCATTGTTGGTTTTCACTGGCTGCTACTAGGTTTTTTTGTTGTTGTTTGTTTAGAGACAAGATCTCACTATTTTGCCCAGACTGGACTCGAAGTCCTGGACTCAAGTGACCCTCCTGCTTTGGCCTCCCAAAGTGCTGGGACTGCAGATGGGCACCACTGTGTCCAGCCCTCATCCTAGTTTTACTAAGGTTGGTAGGTGGTGAAAAAAATTGCTAAAAATGTTTTCATCCTTTAACATGCTCAGTGAGTGTTATGACAACCCCACATAGACTTTTACTGCCTACAGACAGATTTACTGTCACAGAGGTTGTCTTAGTTCAGGCTGCTTTGACAAAGTACTATAGACTGGGTAGCTTATAAACAACAGAAGCTTATTTCTCACAGTTCCAAAGTCTGGAGGTTTAAGATCAGGGTGCCAGCACTGTCAGGTTCTCATGAGAACCCTCTTTCGGGATGCAGACTGCTGACTTACCATGTTCTCATATGGCAGAAAGAGAGTGAACTGGCCTCTTTTTATAAGGGCACTAATCTCATTTATGATGGCTGCACCCTCATGACCTAAATACCTTCCAAAGGCCCTACCTCCAGATACCATCACAATGGGAATTAGATTTCAACATATGCATTTTTGGGGAAACATTCAGTCCGTAACACAGGTGCACCCTTAGTTGTGGGCAATTCAGTTCTGATGCTGTGGTCTGATGACCACACCCTGACAACATAGGTGCATAGTGGGTAGTATGATTGCAAAGGATCTCGTGTTTTTCTCTGTGGTTCCACTAAATTCTTTAGTCCAAGCCTTAGGCCTCCCCTGCTTGGTCACCTGTTGGACCAACACTAGGTACAGGAAGTGCAGGAAGCTCAGTTTACAAAAAGTCATCTGGTGCTTCCAGCTGTATGTAGCTTCCTCTGAAAGAAAAGGAAGCGTGGGGAGTGTAGAAAGCAGTTAGTTCTTCACCTGAGGCTGCAGTTCCAAAACTGAATGGAAACTGTGGTGTTTGGGAAGTGTGTTTGACTAAAGTTTCCTTTCCTCAATTTCTCAAAGGAAACTGTGACTCTTCCCCCACCATCTTCCACCCCTTCAGTTTCCATACATACAAGAAAGAATGATGTCCTGGAGCAACCTCTGGAGAACAACTGTGGGGCCTCCCCATTACAAAACAGCCTCCCCTGTGTGCAATCAGAATTGCTTTCGTCTGGGCAGAACCATACAACACACAGCTGGGCTGTGTGGAGAGCTGTGGCCGACTGTAGGGCTTGCCCGCTAGTCTGTATTTTCCCCTACATTTCTCTACCTCTCATATAGTGGAATTGGTACCACGCAACCACCTCTGGCCTTTGATGGTGGCCTTTGACATGCAACCACCTCAAAGCCAAAGGGCTTTGAAGGGAGGTGATGTGTGTCACTTTCAGTGGGAAGTATTAAAGAGTGGGTATGAGTTTTGACTTTCTTTTTCTGTGCTAGGGCAACCATGGGAGACATAAGTTCTAGTAGTGTCCCTGTAAGCTGAAGAAGGGCTGCTAGACCCACAGTGAATTTTTGTGAACAAGAAGTAATCTGGGCTGGGCGCCTTGGCTCATGCCTGTAATCCCAGCACTTTGGGAGGCCGAGGCAGTCGGATCAGTTGAGGCCAGGAGTTCGAGACCAGCCTAGCCAACATGGTGAAACCCTGTTTCTACCAAAAATACAAAAATTGGCTGGGCATGGTGGTGTGTGCCTGTGATCTCCCAGCTACTCAGGAGGCTGAGGTAGGAGAATTGCTTGAACCCAGGAGGTGAAGGTTGCAGTGAGCCAAGATTGCACCACTGCACTCCAGCCTGGGCAACAGAGCAAGACTCCGTCTCAAAAACAAAAAGTAAATCTGGTTGGGCATGGCGGCTCACGCCTATAATCCCAGCACTTTGGGAGGCTGAGGCAGGAATCAGTTGAGGTCAGGAGTTTGAGACCAGCCTGCGCAACATGGTGAAACCCTATCTCTACCAAAAATACAAAAATTAGCTGGGCTTGGTGATGCATGCCTGTAGTTCCAGCTACTGTGGAGGCTGAGGCAAGAGAATCACTTGAGCTCAGGAGCTCAAGACCAGGTAGGTTGCAGTGAGCCAGGATCTCACCTCTGCACTCCAGCCTGAGTGACAGAGCAAGATTCCATCTCCAAGGCCAGGCATGGTGGCTCATGCCTGTAATCCCAGCACTTTGGGAGGCCGAGGTGGGCGGATCACAAGGTCAGAAGATCGAGACCATCTGGCCAACATGGTGAAATCCCGTCTCCACTAAATATACAAAAATTAGCTGGGTGTGGTGGCGCGTGTCTGTTATCCCAGCTACTCAGGAGGCTGAGGCAGGAGAATCGCTTGAACCCAGGAGGCAGAGGTTGCAGTGCGCCAAGATCATGCCACTGCACTCCAGCCTGGTGACAGAGCTAGACTCTGTCTCAAAAAAAAAAATAAAAAAAAGTAAATATTAGGTTAAGCCATTTATTTCAGGATTTGTTACTGCAGCATAGCTTGATCTGTCTGCCAGTTTGAAGTTCTGAGAGTCAAGATACCTGAGTTTGATTCTGAGACTACATGTGGTCTAGTGCAAGACCTTTAATGTCCTGAATCCCCTTTTTAATATATAAATTGAAGGGTTTAAGTTAGATGATCATGAAGGGCCTTTTTGGCACTTAACATTCACAGATGCTGGATGGCAGCACTCAAATGCAGATGTTCCTTGACTTATGATGGGAGTTTATGTCCTGATAAACCTCTCATAAGTTGAAAATATCCTAAGTTGAAAATGTAAGGACCGGGCGCAGTGGCTGATGCCTGTAATTCCAGCACTTTGGGAGGCTGAGGCAGGAGGATCGCTTGAGCTCAGGAGCTCAAGACCAGCCTGGGGAACATGGTGAAACCCAGCTCTATAAAAAATACAAAAATTAACTGGGCGTGGTGCTGTATGCCTGTAGCCCCAGCTACTCAGGAGGCTGAGGTGGGAGGATGGCTTGAGCCCAGGAGGCGGAGCTTGCAGTGAACCAAGATTGCACCACTGTACTCCAGCCTGGGTGACAGAGCCAGACCCTGTCTCAAAAAAAAAAGAAGAAAAGAAAATGCATTTAATATTCCTAATGTACCAAACGTCATAGCTTAGCCTTGCCTACCTGAAATGTGCTAAGAGGACTTCACTTTAGCCTGCAGTTTGGCAAAATCATCTACCACAAAGCCTTTTTTTCTCTCTCTCTCTCTTAGAGACAGGGTTTTACTCTGTTACCCAGGCTGGAGTACAAGGGCACAATTACAGATCACTGTAACCTCAAACTCCTGGGTTCAAATGATGCTCCCACCTCAGTCTCTGAAATAGCTGGGACTATAGGTGACCTGGCTAATTTGAAAAATTTTTTTGTAGAGGTGGGGTCTTTCTGTGTTGCCCGGGCTGGTCTTGAACTCCTGGCCTCAAATGATCTTTCCAGCTTGGCCTCCCAAAGCGTTGAGATTACTGTTGTAAGCCACCATGCCCAGCTACAAAGTCTATTTTGTGATAAAGTTATAAAGAAATTTGGATCAAAACTCAAAACTTGAAGTATAGTTTCTACTGAAAGCATATTGCTTTTTTTTTTTTTTTTTTTTTTTTTTTTTTTTTTTTTTTTTTTTTTTTTTGAGACAGAGTCTCACTCTGTCACCCAGGCTGGAGTGTAGTGGTGTGATCTTGGTTCACTGCAACCTCCGCCTCCCAGGTTCAAGCGATTATCCTGCCTTAGCCTCCCAGGTAGCTGGGATTACAGGTGCCTGCCACAATGCCCGACTAATTTTTGTATTTTTTAGTAGATACGAGCTTTCACCATGTTGGCCAGGCTGGTCTCAAACTCCTGACCTCAGGTGATCCACCCACCTCAGCCTCCCAAAGTGCTGGGATCACAGGTGTGAGCCACCGCGCCCAGCCGCATATTGCTTTTTTACCATTGTAAAGTAGCAAAACTGTAAGTCAAGCCATTGTAAGTCAGGAACCACGTGCACACTTTTCTGATTGATGTACAAAAAGGAGACTAAGTCTGGCACTAAAGTCATCCCTGGAAAACTTATTTATTATTATTAGTTTTTGCTATTAAATGAGAAGTTAGTTATGTGAAGAAAGTGACAAAGATGAAGTAATACTTTTTTAAAAATTAGTTTTATTGAGATATAATTCACATAATTAGTTTATTTGGCTCATGGTTCTGGGAAGTCCAAGGTCATGGCATTGGCATCTGGTGAGGGCCTTCTTACTGCATCACCCCAAGGCGAAAGGTGGAAGGACAGGAGAGCTCAAGAGAGCAAGAGATGGTTGAACTTCTGTAACAGATTCACTCTCACAATAAATTAAACCACTCCTGTGATAATGCCATTAATCTATTCAGGAGGACAAGAGCCTTCATGACCTAATCATCTCTTACAGGTCTCACGTCTATACACTATTGCACTGGGGATTAAGTTTCCAATACAAGAACTTTGGATGACATTTCAAGCCATAGCAACCACTATTTAACTTCAGAACATTTTCATCACTCCCCAGAAAAGCTGTACACATTAGCAAGGACTCCTCATTCCATAAATCTACTTTTTTTTTTTTTTTTGAGACAGAGTCTCACTCTCTCGCCCAGGCTGGAGTACAGTGGCACCATCTTGGCTCACTGCACCCTTCACCTCCAGGTTCAAGTGATTCTTCTGCCTCAGCCTCCTAAATAGCTGGGATTACAGGCATGTGCCACCATACCTGGCTAATTTTTTTTGTATTTTTAGTAGAGACGGGGTTTTACCATGTTGGCCAGGCTGGTCTCAAATGCCTGGCCTCAAGTGATCTGCCCCCCTTGGCCTCCCAAAGTGTTGGGATTACAGGCGTGAGCCACCGCACCCGCCCAGATCTACTTTTTTATCTGTGTAGATTGCCTATTCTAGACATTTCATATCAGTAGACTCATACAATAGGAGTCTCCTTGTCTGGCTTCTTTCACTTAGCACAGTGTTTTTAAGGTTCGTCCATATTGTAGCATTTATCAGAACCTCATTCCTTTTTATAGTTGAATAAATAATCCATTATATGTCTGTACTACATTTGTTTATTCATTTGTCAGTTGATAAGCAATTGGGTCGTTACTACTTTTGACTATTATGAATAATGCTGCTATGAACATTTGTGTGCAGGTTTTTGTTTGGACATATTTCTTCGTTTCTCTTGGGTATATACATAGGAATGAAATTGCTGGGTTATGTGGTAACACTATATTTAGCATTTTGAGGACCTGCCAAACTGTTCCATAGTAGCTATCCCATTTTACTTTATTTTTTTTTTGAGACAGCGTCTCACTCTGTTACCCAGGCTGGAGCACAGTGGCACGATTTCGGCTCATTGCAACCTCTGCCTCCTGGTTCAACCAATTCTCCTGCCTCAGCCTCCTGAATAGTTGGGATTACAGGCATGTGCCACCACACCCAGCTAAATTTTTTTTTTTTTTTTGAGTCTCGCTCCATCACCCAGGGTGGAATGCAGTGGCGTGATCTCGGCTCACTGCAAGGCTCCGCCTTCCGGGTTCATGCCATTCTCCTGCCTCAGCCTCCCAAGTCACCCAGCTAATTTTTGTATTTTTTAGTAGAAACAGGGTTTTGCCATGTTGCCAGGCTGGTTTCTGACCCCTGACCTCAAATGATCCTCCCGCCTCTGCCTCCCAAAGTGCTGGGATTACAGTCATGAGCTACTGAATTCGGCCCATTTTACAATCCTATATGCAATGTATGAGTGTTTTGATGTTTCCACATCTTCATCAATACTTGTTACTGTCTTTCTTACTGAAGTAATCAGTTTTGATAAAGCAGCCATATGGCAAACTAAACAGTGAAGAGATTTTTACATGCATATTAGCTTAAGTTGCTCTCTAAACAGTTGTAGTGTGTATTGGCGTATTTATAAAAATTTGCACTGTGAGCTTAGCACTAAAGTAAATGTTAATGACTAATAACATAATTCTTCAACTTGTTTAGCTTTTGGAAAATTTTTCATTTCAAAAATGAAGCACTCTTGAAGGGAAAAAAAGGAGTAAATAAAAAATGAGTTGTTTGATCCTCTCTCTCTTGATTCACCAGATGTAATTGTTCTCTTGGAGCATTTTTTTTTTTTTAAAGACAGATTCTCTGTTTTCCAGGCTGGAGTGCAGTGGTGTGATCATGGTTCACTGCAGCCTCAACTTTTCAGGCTCAAGTGATCCTCCCACCTTAGCCTCCCGAGTAGCTGGGACCACAGGTGCACACCATCATGCCCGGTTAATTTTTGTATGTTTTTGTAGAGACAGGGTTTCGCCATGTTGCCCAGGCTGGTTGAACTTCTGGGCTCAAGTGATCTGCCTGCTTTGGCCTCCCAAAGTGCTAGGATTACAGGTATGAGCCACTTTGCCCAACCTCTTGAAGCATAAACATATAAACACACACACACACACACACACACACACATATTTCTTTTTTTTTTTTTTTTTTTTTTTTTTGAGACGGAGCCTTACTCTGTCACCCAGGCTGG
The DNA here is from genome assembly GCF_000001405.40 of Homo sapiens. NCBI lineage: Eukaryota > Metazoa > Chordata > Mammalia > Primates > Hominidae > Homo > Homo sapiens. The sequence continues at coordinate 148,723 of NW_003315963.1, forward strand.
AGTGCAGTGGTGCGATCTCAGCTCACTGCAACCTCCGCCTCTCAGGTTGGAGTGATTCTCCTGCCTCAGCCTCCCGAGTAGCTGGGATTATAGGCACGCGTCACTACACCTGGCTTATTTTTGTATTTTTTAGTAGAAATGGGGTTTCCTTCTGTTGGCCAGGCTGGTCTCTAACTCCTGACCTCTCAGGTGATCCATCTGCCTCAGCCTCCCAAAGTGCTGGGATTACAGGTGTCAGCCACTGTGCCCGGTTGCATAAACTTATTTTTATAAATTATGTGCTTCTAAATTATCAGGTGGACTGTGCCTTACATGTATAGGCTTGAGTAGGCTGAGCATGGTGGCTCACACCTATAATCCCAACACTTTTAGAGGCCAAGGTAGGAAGATGGCTTGGGGTCACGAGTTCAAGGCCAGCGTGGACAACATAGTGAGACCCTGTCTCTACAAAAAAAAAAAAAGAAAATTAGGTGGGCATGGTGGTGCATGCCTGAGGTCCTGGCCCCTGAGGAGGCTGAGGTGGAGGATTGCTTGAGCCCAGAAGGTCAAGGCTGCAATGAGCCATGATTGTATGACTATACTCCAGTTTGGGTGACAGAGAGAGACCCCATCTCTAAAAGCAAAAAAAAAAAGTGAAATAAAATAAAAAATCGTTGCTATCTTTTATTAATATTCTGTTTTGGGAGACATTATTCTTATATTTTCCTCACACTTTTTAAATGTGGTTTCTTTTAGTTCTTTGAACATACTTAAATTGACTTAAACTCTTGTCTGTTAAGTCCAATATCTGGGCTTCCCTTGGGAAGAGTTTTCTATTGTTGTTTTTTCCCTTTATATGGGCTATATTCTTTTGTTTCTTTGCATATCTTCCAATTTTTTGTTGAAAACTGGACATTTTATTTTATTATTATTTTCAGACAGAGTCTCTCTCTGTCGCCCAGGCTGGAGTACAGTGGTGTGATCCAAGCAATTCTCATGCCTCAACTGCCTGAGTAGCTGGGACTATGGGTGGGCAGCAACACACCTGGCTAATTTTTTTTGTATTCTTAGTAGAGACAGGGTTTCACCATGTTGGCCAAGCTGGCCTTGAACCCCTGACCTCAGGTGATTTGCCCACCTCGGCCTCCCAAAGCACTGGGATTACAGGCTTGAGCCACTGTGGCCAGCCAACTGGACATTTTTAATGACATAATGTGGCAACTCTGAAAATCAGATTCTCCTCCCTCTCCAGATGAGCTCTAAGTCAGGTAAAATACAGAGATATTTGCAAATGGGGTATTTTGGGGAACCACCAGACAGGTTAAATAATGCCAATTTCCTGGGAATGGTACTTTGAAGGAGCTGTAGCCCAGTTCTGCTTCCTCTGGTAACTGCCAGTCTTCTGGTCTTCAATGTGGATGCAGCTGGTAGTTTTCAAGGCTATTATGGAGCTGGAGAGCTAGGAATGGGACTCAGTCAAGTTAAAATGCTACAAAACTCACTGTTCTTACCAGGATTCAGCTATTTATCTTTGATAAATTATCCCCAGTTTGCTAAAAGCCTATTTCCAGAGTTCTGAAAAAGGTGATTCTATTATTTTGCCAATTTTTCATTGTTTTTATGTAGTAGAGAATTTTGGTCAGGGAAAGTCCTTATTCTGCCATTTTTGATGATACTCTTTCCCTCCCCTTTTTAGGCTTTTATTTTCATGAATCTTGTATCTCTTGGTGTTTTGTTTTGTTTTGTTTTGTTTTGTTTTCGAGACAGGGTCTTGTTTTGTCACCCAGGCTAGAGTGCAGTGGTGTAATCATGGCCCACTGCAGCTTAAAACTCCTGGGCTCAAGTGATACTGCTCCCTCAGCCTCCCAAGTAGCAGAGACTACAGGTGCACACCACCATGACCAGCTAATTTTTTAAATTTTTTGTAGAGATGGGGTCTTGCTCTGTTGTTCAGACTAGTCTCAAATTCCTGGCCTCAAGCGATCCTCTTGTCTCAGCCTTTCAAAGTGCTGGGATTACAGGCTTGAGCCACTACACCCAGCCTAATTTTTGTATATGATGTGAGGTCGGGGTCCAGATTCATTTTTTCATGTGGATATTTAGTTGTCCCATCACCATTTATTGAAGAGACTGTTCTTTCCCCACTGGATGTTTTTGGCATCCTGGTCTAAAATCAGTTGACTGTAGATGTATGGGTTTATTTCTGGACTTCTAATTCTACTCCATTGATTTATACATCTTTCCTTATGCCAGTATTTCACTGCTTTGGTTACTATAGCTTTATAGTAGATTTTGAAATCAGGAAATATTACTTTTACAACATTTTTTCTTTCAGTATTTGTTTTAGTCATCCTGGATCCCTCGCTTTTTTTTTTTCTTGCGTCAGTTTGTTTGTACAAATAGCACAGGAGGATCCCCGCCCCATGCAGACGGCAGCCCGAGGGGGTCGCAGCAGTCCTTCTGTTCTCACATTTGTAGACAGAGATATCTACTCTGAAGCCTTTGTAGGGGCCTGGGCACCTTTGGGAGCTTGAGCTGGAACTGAAGCTGGAGCTGCAGTCTGGGCGCTGATTTGATCCTTGGCCTTGGCCTTTAGCCGGCACAGCCTGAGTCCCTTGGCAGTGCGGGCACGAGCACACTTCCCAAGCTTGGGGTGGGCAATGTAGGCAAGTCGATCGAGCTTGTGGCTGACACCCTTTGGGATCTTGGGCTTAACCTCCTTGGGCTTTACGAGGGCCTTGATAGCCTCGGCACGTGCACTCATGGCCTTGGCATTGTTGGCCTGCATCTTCTTGAGGCCCTTCTTGTGCTTCTTGGCAAAGTGCATGTTCCTCAGGAACCTGGGGTCCATCCACTTAAGAGATTTGTATCTTTGTGATCGGGGTTTCTTGATAGCATTTCTGTGCCATTTTCGGGACTGGTTGTGTGTGGTATGGTTCTTGGACTTGGCCCTGTCTGTACCTTAAGCCGCAGCTCCCGAAGCACCTAGAACTGGAACCCTCACATTTTTATATGATTTTAGGGCTTTGTTTTATTTTTGGGGACAGAGTCTTGCAGTGTTGCCCAGGCTGCTCTTAGACTCCTGGGCTCAAGTGATGTTCTCACCTTGGCCACCTCTAAGTACCTAGGACAGCAGGCATGCACTACCACTCCTGGCTTCCAAATGAATTTTGGGGTCAGCTTGCCCATTTCTGTAGAAAAGGTAATTGAAATTTTGAGGCCGGCATGGTGGCTCACGCCTGTAATTCCAGCACTTTGGGAGGCCGAGGTGGGTGGATCACTTGAGGCCAGGAGTTTGAGACCGGCCTGGCCAATATGGCGAAACCTCATCTCTACTAAAAATACAAAAAATTAGCCAGGCACTGTGACGCGCACCTGTAATCCCAGCTACTTGGGAGGCTGAGGCAGGAGAATCACTTGAACTCTGGAGGTGGAGGTTGCAGTGAGCTGAGATTGTGCCACTGCACTCCAGACTGGGCGACAGAGCACAACTCTGTCTCAAAAAAAAAAATATTTTGATAAAAATTGTGTTGAATCTGTAGATGAATTTGGTGAAATAGTATAACTTTAAGCATTATAAGTTTCATTTAGAGAAAGTTTGGAAGTATGTAAAGTGAAAAAGAGTTTAATGTTTGTGGTTTTTTAATTAGGTAAGCATATAGGTCTCACTTGGTCTTCCAGATCTGTCAAAGGAATGGGGGCAGGCTCTCCTAGAGCCAGAGGCAGCCGCGGTAGAGGAACTAGGAAGCTGGTGCACCACTGAACAAAGATAGAGTGTTTCTCAGGGCTGCATAAGACACTCACTGTGGCCAACTCAGGTGAAGGTTTTCCTTCAGAGGCCACAGAGTCTCCACGGGAACAGCCTGCCCCGCTTCAGCATTCCTGTAGAGTGCTTCTGTTGTATATCAGAATCTATAAATTGTGGAGCACTCGGGTGGGGATAGATGTGATTGCCTTATTTGTCATGAATTTGAAAAAAGAAAACATTTTGGAACACATTTTTTACAAGTAGCCATTTGATATTTGTTTCTTGAAAAGTTTATGAGATTTTTTTTAAAGAGCTCAAATTTTGTTGAACATAGAGCCATAAATAATGGTTGTTTTATTGACTTTATATGTTATGTGTTTGTATCCACAGTGTCCTTCTCATCTCTTGCCTTTGTAACCTACCTAATTCCTGTGTTGCCAACACAATCATAGAAATACAAAGGAATTATGGTAATTGGCCATAAGTGACGAAGTATGAGTTACATTTAATTATATATTCAAAAAAGGAAAATAGAAAACCTGGTTATCAATAAGTAGACGAAACTATATACCACCATTACATAGGTTGCAGTTGAATATGTGGTCAAGCACGGTGGCTCATGCCTGTAATCTCAGCATTTTGGGCTGAGGCGGGAGGATCACTTGAGCTCAGGAGTTTGAGACCAGCCTGGGCAACATGGCGAAACCTCGTCTCTACAAAAAATACAAAAATTAACCAAGCATGGTGGTACATCTGTAGTCCCAGCTGCTCCGGAGACTGAGGCAGGAGGATTGCTTGGGCCTAGGAGTTCGAGGCTGTAGTAAGCCAAGGTCATGCCACTGCACTCTAGCCTGGGTAACACAGTGAGACTCTGTCTCAAAAAAAAAAAAAAGTTGGCCAGGCGCAGTGGCTCAGGCCTGTAATCCCAGCACTTTGGGAGGCCGAGACGGGTGGATCACCTGAGGTCAGGAGTTCGAGACCAGCCTGGCCAGCATGGTGAAACCCCATCTCTACTAAAAGTACAAAAATTAGCCAGGCATGGTGGGCGCTTGTAATCCCAGCTACTCAGGAGGCTGAGGCAGGAGAATCACTGGAACCTGGGAGGCGGAGGTTGTGGTGAGCTGAGACCACGCCACTGCACTCCAGCCTGGGCAACAGCAAGACTCCATCTCAAAAAAAATAATAATAATAAGTTAAATATGTGGTAAATGTGACTTTCAGTGAAACGTATTTGAACTTTTGTTTGGGAGAGCAGATGGTTTCAAGCAAATGTTATTCCTGATTTTAGCTTTATGAGAAGAGTCACAGTATTCCGCTGTTGTAGGTATCAGAAACTACAACCAGCGATATCCAGATTCTGCTATTTGAACCTATCCAGAGTCAGGGGTTCTAAGAAGCCACCCAAGGTGTGAAACTGGTATACCTTGCCAGGCTCCCGCTCTGCACACCCAGAGGGAAACTGGTACCGGAGTGAGGATTGGAAGAATCGTGTCTGTAAACCGCCTGCCAGCCACTCCCTTCTCCAGGCTCTGTTTCTGCACCCTGCACTTAAGCCCAGCTTGGTATCCGACTGTCCCGTCCTACTTTGGGACCTTTGCCGTGGTGGTCCTTTACCTTGTGAGTCCCACCTGTCCCTTTTGCACTTGTCCAAACCTATCCTACAATCAAGGCCTACCTCAGAAGAATATTTTTTTCGTAACAACCTTTTTGATTTCCCTTGCCCTTTGCCCATCTCTGCCTTTGCTGATGCCCCATAAAGTTTATGAGTGCTGTGTGTGTCAACAGCCCTCACCATAATCTGAGTACTCATGTGATCCTCCTGAAGCTTGTGAGCTCTTCAAAGAGGAAAGGAGAAAATGCTGAACGTGGATCCAGGCCCTGTTCAACGTGCCAGCCTCAGCTTTGAAGGGGCCAGTCTAGAATCATACTTTTTTGGTTGCATTGTTTTTGTATTACTACTTGAGGAATTTTCTAACAGTCATCATTTCATAGTTCAGTGCTCACTATTGTACCTGCTCCTCTAAGGTTATAATATGATTTCTTATTCATTTGTAGCCCACCTGTGTGGATAATAGCATCACAGGAGTTATTGTCCAGAATTACTGTAGCCTTCCTCACTTTATCTTATTTTTCCCCCCGACAGGAAAGGACTTAGAAGCCTTACAAATACATCTGTGCATTCTTGCTTCAGACTTTACAACTGAGGGCCAGCCCAGTCTGGAAGCATCTCTTATTAATGTTACAAGGAAACCGCTACCTCAGCAAACAAAAGGAATGGAGGAGGAGACTTACAACAAACGCCATTTAAAAAAAAAAGAAAAACTTGTTTTCAGGAAACATTAGAGGAAATTTGGAGAATTTCAGCATTGCATAGAAGCAGCCTTACAGGTAAACGGATTTGACGGGCAGGCTCTGTCAAAATTCTGCAGAAGTTTGATCTTCCTTCTTAAGGACTTTGTGTGAAGTAATTCTTTACTGCTTTTAAATTGCTGTTGATCAGCTTCTGGGTTTTTGGGTTCTAACTTTTTTGGGTATATTGAAGACACAGTGTATTACATTATATTACATTTTTAAACGTTAAGTTATTTTTCTGCCATTGTAAATACAAGTATCAAAATATTCTTGCAAAGAAGTAAACATTTTTCTCAGCAAGCATATCCTTTTAGTAAGAGAGTGGAATGCTAAACAGTTCTTATCCAGCATTTTGGACATCTTTTATTTTTTGTCAGAGATCCTGTCTACACTGAAAATATTAATTATATAAACCTGTTGTCTCTCACCTCTACATTGGATCACATGGTCACCTGCCTCATGGAAATGCCTTTTTTAAAACTTCGATTTGCAGAACTCCACTATTTTTATACCTAGCTACAGTTTTGAGAAAGAAGAATCAGAACCCTGACCCACTTACGGTTGCTGGGACAATTCCCCCTCCCGCATGTATTGCTGCAGTGCCCAGGACAGTAAAATGGACTACAAGCGGCGCTTCCTGCTTGGCGGGTCCAAGCAGAAGGTGCAGCAGCACCAGCAATACCCGATGCCTGAGCTGGGCCGAGCACTGAGTGCTCCCCTGGCATCCACGGCCACCACTGCCCCCCTGGGCAGTCTGACCGCTGCAGGCAGCTGCCACCATGCCATGCCCCACACTACTCCTATCGCCGACATCCAGCAGGGCATCTCCAAGTATCTGGATGCCCTGAACGTCTTCTGCCGTGCCAGTACTTTCCTCACAGATCTCTTCAGCACTGTGTTCAGGAACTCTCACTACTCAAAGGCAGCCACACAGCTCAAAGATGTGCAGGAGCATGTCATGGAAGCAGCCAGTCGGCTGACCTCGGCCATAAAGCCTGAGATCGCCAAGATGCTAATGGAACTTAGTGCTGGGGCTGCAAATTTTACGGATCAGAAGGAATTC